>NC_000007.14:147034137-147185652 GCF_000001405.40 Homo sapiens | reverse complement strand
GTATTCTGAATTTTGGTTTTTTAAAGTTGTTGCTTAACATTAGATTTCTAAGATTCATCTCTATTTCTGTATGTAGTTGTGGTTAATTCAGTCTTAACACTGGGTCATATTCTATAATTTGATTATTCCATAATTTATTTAGCATTCTACTGCTGATAGTATAATGATATAAACAGTTTGGTTGTTTCCAGGTTTTATTATTATGGAGAATGTTAATATGAACATATTCATACAAATTTTCTGTGCCTCCATCCAAGAATTTCTCTAGTATATATACCTAAAAGAAGTAGAGTTGCTGATTTGTAGATTACGTGCAAGCTCAACTTTATTTGATAATGCTAAATAATTATCTAAAGATGTTATGATTATTAATGAATATATTTATACCAATTGGTCTTTATGAAATAATTTGCTTTTGGTCTTTTTATTAACATTTATCTAATGTTCTTATTTATATTACTTCTTTCTATTTTCCTGGGATTTTGTTGCTCTTTTTTACTTTTTAAGATTAATATTTGTATAATTAATTTTTAGCCTTCCTTTTGTAATGTAAGTGTTTTAGCTGATAACATTCCCCACATAAACCATTTTAGATGTCCTCCTGGTTTACAGGGTATTTTTGCCCATTTAAGTGGCTTTTTCCTCCCCTATGTGTTAGATATTATTGTTATTTTATATAGACAGTATTTACATGGCTGGCATTACCAACGTTTTCCCAATAGTACCAATGTTTTAGCTTTGATTTGTAGTAGATATGGATCACTTGGTTCCAAGCATTTTACATTTCCATTGTTAATTGTTTTCAGCATTTAGAAGTGTTGAATTTTCCCAACATGTTCTTTCTTTAACATTTTTGGTTCGTTTTGGACATTTAAGTACATTGCGATCCCTTCTTTTCTTTCCTCCCATCCCCTTCTTTCTTCTCCTTCCAACTTCTCTCTTTTTCCCTTTTCCTTCCCTCATTTCCTCTCCAATTAATGTGCTGACTCACAATTACTGTTTAGTGTACTTGTTGCTATCTTAATTTGAATTTCTACAAGCCAGGAGATGATTGGAATTCTGCACCTGATGCTACTAGTCCCTGTCCCTGGTGTGGGCTGTGTTTTCAGTCTGGTTCAGTCATTTTGTTCTTTACCTGGCCTCTGTCTTAAAGAATCCTTTGCCATAGTTTATACAAGAGTCTGTAAGAGTATATAAGTATACAAGAGTTCTATATACTCTCTTAATGCATCAGATGAAACTTCATCTCAATTTTGAGAATTTTTCTGTCTGCCTCAGATAAAATAATTCTGATTTAAAGCAAGAGAAAATCCAAATCCAACGACTTAAATGGTAAAGACCTCAGGCATTGGAAAACCCACAAGTTGGGCAGCCTTAGGAGCGATCCAGTCCCTCCAGAGAAACACTTCTCCCCAGCTCCTATTTCAGTTTCAAAGTAAAGTATTTCCTATGTATCTTTGAACAGCCCACATTTGTATTTCAGGTGAAGAATGTAGAAGCTATGAAGGCAAAGCTTCCCGAGGCCATTTTACAGGAACTCAGGCTTATCAATACTCATTTGGGAAGTATAGTCACTCTTTCTTCTAATAATTTTTAATGGGTAATTAA
Organism: Homo sapiens; assembly: GCF_000001405.40. Taxonomy (NCBI): domain Eukaryota; kingdom Metazoa; phylum Chordata; class Mammalia; order Primates; family Hominidae; genus Homo; species Homo sapiens. The sequence goes on along the minus strand of NC_000007.14, from coordinate 147,184,044 downwards.
ATATCCCATTTTCATTTATTGCAATAGATGACATCCCTGTGATGTTTTTAAAGACCTACAAATTCTTCTTAATGTATAGTAAATACAATGCATCACTGATCACTACTGCCAGATTATTTACTTTGTGTTTAGCTTGATACAGAAATAAAAACTATAGTAGGCACCACTTTACTGGGCAAGTACCATGTTTCAGCCACAATAGGAGGTGGCAACAATTTTAGCAGGCAGAGGTAGCATTCCCCTCCTGCAGCTCAGGTAGTAATCTCCATTCTGAGACCATGGAGACTATCCCCAGAGTCAGTCTGTGACAGAGAAGGGTCACAGAACTCAACTGTGACCAATCCCAAGCCCGTGATATTGATGCCTTTGCACCAAGCTTCAGACTAAGAAAATAGGGAATAGGGGATTAGTGCTTTCACACTATTTTGTTACATTTTAATTTTTCACTCAACTTGTAAGGAAAAACACACACACACACACACTTATTTAACAAAGTGGCTGAATATGTCAATGAATAGCTCTGGCATGCTGAAAAGGCAACTAACGAGAATGAAGTACAGATTGGCCATCTGTGTCATGGAGTGGTTGGACGAGATGGTGTAAAGGACTCCTCCAAGTCTGAGATTTGCTGTATAATTTAACTTTCTAATTATAAATCTTAATTAGGCTTTAGTAGACTGTGAGCTGCTTAAAGATAGTGCTTATTTATGATTAATCTCTTTATTTAGCTGTTAGCCAGTGACTATTTCTGTCCAGTTTTCAAAACAGTATTGATGACTTAAAAATCAGAGTATCTGAGATACAATTTTGACATAAAATAAAAGTAGATTTTAATGATTTTTTTGTATTTTAATTTAGATTAGAAGTAGCTTAATGTTTCCTTTTTTTTTTTCTAACCATTGGCAGTCATCCACTGTTAGTTTGAACCTTATTCAAGCTTGTTCTAAGCTGCTAGCCAGTTAGAGTAACTATGATTAGATGACACACTAACATAAACTCTTACAACATTCAAGAAATTCCAGTGATGAAATTAGATTAAAATGAATCATTGATGACTTTAAAAATTTCTTTAGCTCTTATCACATTTATTTTTATAATATCCTTGGGAGATAAGTTCAATAGTCACAGTTACTGACTGAATAATATAAGTATTTCTAATAAGTATGAAGATGATTAAATTATTTTCATCTTTGTGTACTGAATACATGCTGTCTTCACAAGCATTAAAACTATTCCCATTATATGATATAGAAAGTAGAGTATGAAGCTCCAGTAAAATGGCTTATTAAATTGTAAAGCAGAGAAATAATAAAAAAATAAAGTTTAGGAAGAGAATGAACAAAAATACCATTTAAGAAAGCAAGGTTCAAGATTAGCAAACTTCCTAATTCTGTTCTATAGCCACATAAAAGGGTTTTTTTTTAAAAAGATACTTAGGTTTCAATCTAAGGCAATGAGTAGAGTTTAGTAAAGAATAGAGAGTAAATATGGAAATTTAAATATTTGGAAAGGACTGCAAATCAAATACCAAGGTTCAAGGTTCAAAAATGAAACTAATGTGCTTAGTATAGGGTTAATAAAGTTACAAATATTATTTTTCTCTTCAAAGTAATGTGCTACATGACTATATCTTATTTTTAGGTAATGTAATTACTCCAGCATCTATAATGAAATTTATTAAAACAGTAATTTAAAAAATAACAAATTAACACAAAGACCCCAAAAAACATTTACCAATAAAAAAGAGGAGGTTAATATTGATTATTTTCTTATTAATAATTAATGGGCTGTACTATCACAGCTGTGCAAAGCTGGTTAATTAGAGTTAACAGGCTTTGCTTAGACAAAGAACTTTGCTTTTGTTTTTATTTCTCTTGTTTAATGTGGAAGTTACTTTCTTTTTTTTTTTTTTTTTTTTTGAGATGGAGTCTCACTCTCTTGCCCAGGCTGGGGTGCAGTGGCACGATCTCAGGCCACTGAGATCATCTGCCTCCTGGATTCAAGCAATTCTCCTGCCTCAGCCTCCTGAGTAGCTGGGATTACAGGTGCATGCCACCATGCCCAGCTAATTTTTGTATTTTTAGTATGGACGGGGTTTCACCATGTTGGTCAGGCTGGTCTCGAACTACTGACCTAGTGATCCACCCACCTCGGCCTCCCAAAGTGCTGGAACTACAGGCGTGAGCCACTGCGGCCAGCCTGAAGTTACTCTTGACCATATATGGCTTCAGTAATTAAAAAAAGAAGAGCTACATTTGACATGTAACTTTAAATTCTTCTATAAAGAACTGCCTTCAAGTATTTTATATTTTTGAAAGGACTGAATATGAAAAAGCCTTGTAGAAATTCTGACAACTCAGATAGTGAAAACAGCATTTTGATGAAGTTTTTAATTAAGTAAAATGGCCTCCATCAAACTTCTTGTACTTCACCTGCTTAAAAACAAAACAGTTCACCTTTCTGTTGGAATATTTCTCAGTGTTGTTAAACTCTCTTCTTTAGTAAATATCAGTGATAGGTTATGAAAGTTTACAAATATTAAAGGTAATACTTAGTTTACTTTTCAAAAGTATATAAACATTTACATTATCTAAACTTTTAAAACTTACCAAAGATTTTAAGTAATTTTGCTTTAAAAAGTTTTAGACATGAGAAAATGTTTTCTAGTAAAATAATATATCTATGTGAATTCTAATCTTTAAAATATGCACTGAGATCCACCTTCCTCAAGAAAGGTGTGAGGTCTAATTCTCTCCTGTTCAGTCCATTCACTCTGCCTCTGTGCCCTTTGGAGATGTGTTTTCCCGGATCTCCGGCTTCTGGTCTCTCTGGGCCACCTGCTGTCCCCCCAGCTCAAACTATTTTACTTTGCTTCCAGGTTAACCTTCCTAAAGTCAGCTTTATCATGAAGCTTCTTGGCTTATAGTGACTTACTTCAAATTGTGCCCTCATTGTCCCATGCATATACTATTCCCACCTGTGAAATATTCCCTGCCATTTCCTTTTCAAAATATTTTGAAAATAGTTACTGACATATTTTAAGCTATAATTTATTTTTAATTTTGTGTTCTAGGTGTTTGTTATAGAAATGCAATTGGCTACTATATATTAATTTTATATTAACCATTTTGCTGATCCATTGCTATTTTATAATGTTTTCTCTGTATTCTTTAGTAGCTTCCTATGTAAATAATTTTATGATCAGCAAATAATGACAGTTCATTTTCTTTTTTCCCATTTTTATTCCACTAATTTGATTGTCATTTCAATCAGTACAGCGTACAAGTATGCTGGCTTGGATCTCTAGTTAAAAATTGAATGAAGGTAACTTCAGTAGGCATTCCTGTCACATATTTAATTTTAAATGAAATTATTAATATATACAATGGCATTTACTATGCATTTTTTTAATGGCTGCTCTTACTAAGGTAAAGCTCTATTTCTAGTTTACTAAATTTTTATCTGGTACAGGTGTTAAATTTTATCAACTATATTTCTATATCTACTTAAGTGATGGCTTGTTTCTTCTATTTTAAGCTTGTTTCTCCTATTTTAAGTTGGTAATTCTATTTTAAGTTGGAAATGGGGCAGCAGAGGGACTGTAGTATGAACTCATGATTTTCTGGTATCTAATAACAAAATGTACTAAATTGGAGTTGTGATATACTCCAAAGTATATGTAAATAGGAAGAGTAATTTCCAAAATTATAAAATATGCATACTGTCATGTGCTTTTTTGATTAGTCACTCCAAAAAGGGTTGGATCACCAGATAATAAAAATCTCTAGGGCTTTGTATTTATAGAAAGAGAATCAGAAAGTCTCAAACTATATATTGGGGAAAAATTAAGGAATAAGATGATTTCTTCAAGGAAATGAACATGGGTGATGGCAGCTGGAGTCTTGTGAGATTGTGTGCACCTTCCTGGTCCCTTAGTCCATGGCACCTGCCTCCCTCTTTCAGGACTACTCCAGGCCTGTTCCTGGGTATTCTTTAACAGGTCACCCTTCGTAAAATGACTCATCAAGTTTGGCTTCTCAGGTCCTGATACCCTCCCTCAAACAACCGCATCCTCTATCCCTGACACCTGTTCCTATGGACTCAATTCACTTTTGTCACAACCTGGGGCAGGGGCACATCTTGCATCTTCATTTCAAACATTTTCTTCTCAAAAATGCCTCTTGTCCTCAAGATCACTTACTCTAGTACCCATATAACTATCATTGTAACCCTTTAAAGTTTTTGTTTTGAATCTATCCTCTTTCCCAAAACCACTGGAGTTTTCCTATATTTCTCTCCCTCCTTGTCTGGCCTAGACTCCATTGTTTACTGAGTTACCAACTACTTAATATAGGCTCTCATCTCCTGTGCCCACTCTTCCATCCTTCATATTTGTAAATAAAACCGATTTTGATAAGACTAATTACCTACCCTTTTGGTGAATTTTATCTGTAAAAGATAACAAAATGGGTCAACTGGTTTCACTCTAAGTTTATAATAATATTATTCTCACTCACATGCCAAGCCTGGGTGTACAGGTCAACCATTTGTTCCTAGAATCTGGTAGATAATCTTATTTCAAAACCTTTGTGTTTAGCCTCCTCTTTGTCTGGAGTTTTCTTCCTCCAATATTTGCAAGACTGGGAGCTTCTAATTCTGTAGGCTTGTTTCATTATAATATTGTCTCCTCAGAGAGGACTTCCCTAACCACTTTCAATAATCTTGAACATAACATCCTCTTTACTTTTCTTTATCGCATATACCACAATATCCAACTAAGCTTCTAGTCTTAATATTTTGTTTCTTAAAATTGAAGAACCTTTTGCTGTTATTCCAAGTTTGATATATAATTGTTCACTATATAATTGTTGAAAGAATTAATGAATTTATTGGAATTACAGGCATAGAAATCTAGAAGACTCTTAAGACGGCACTTAACAGAGTATGCTTAGTTAAAAAGTAAGGATATGGAGTCTCAGAAAGGTTAGATGACAATCACAAGGCCACAGCACTGCAGTTGGGATGAGTGCTCAGCTAGCCCCTGAACTCCAGCACCCTGATCAGTCTTCTGATGAAAATGAAAGACCCCTGCTTTATCTGGAGTCCTTAATCCTAACAGAGTCATCTTTCCACAATGAACTTGCCAAAACAGATGGAATATGCTAACAAACAGTGACTAAAAAATTTAAAAATAATAACTACTGCCTTAATCAACGGTTTTTGTTTTTTCAAACTAAAGGTCGAACATAACCTACATCAAGAAATTAAAAATTCCTCTACTTTGTCATAAAACAGAGCAGTTCTCTTAGCTTAAATATGGTCAAAGGCACTTTATTCTTGCATTATTTTCTCCTCCATGTTTCAGAGACCCGGACACTGCACTAATGAGAAAATCAGGGTAGCCATTCCTAGGGCATAGACAGTATTTGGGTAAGAGGGGCAGAGTGATGTTGTATCATTTCTTTCTATCTTTAAGTATCCATTCAGACTCTTAAACTCCAGAATGTTATACTACTACAAAATTAGTGGCTTAAAACAACACACATTCATTATCTTGCACATTTGTAGGTCAGAGGTCCAGCAAAAGTCAGACTGGACTAAAACCCAGTGTTGGCAGGACTACATTCCTTTCTGGAGGCTCTAGGTAAGAAACTGTTTCCTTGCCTTTTCCACCTTCTAAATGGGGTCCACGTTCCTTAGCTCTTGGCCACCATTTTCTGTCTTCAAACCAGCAGTAACAGACTGAGTCCTTCTCACACTTCAGATTTCTTCTGCCTCCTTCCTTTGACCTATCATTTTCTGACCACAGATAATAAACAGTCTCCGTTTTGAAGGACTCATGTGATGACACTCAGCCCACCTGGATAAACCCAATAATCTCTCCATCTCAAGGTCTGTAATCTTAAGCATATCTGCAAAGTCCCTTTTGCCATGTAAGGCAACACATTCACAGGTTCTTGGAGTTAGGACATGGATATCTTCGTGGTGGGGGGGCGGATGGGGCATTATTCTGCCTTCCACAGATAGAGTTGAGGGGTAAGCTAGAAATTAGTGGATTCTCTGCATGTAAGTATTATAGTCAGGTGGGTGATCAGGATCATACAGCCTAGACGTAAGGTATTTTCAATTTTTATAAGTATGGTGGATATGAGCAGAAGCAAAAAAATCCCACCTCAGTTACCCATTTAGGGTTGTGCTACATAATTGCTTTTGGATATTAGAAATTGAAGTAAGAGTTACGTGAATTAGCCTACCCATGTGCTGAAACTGGATCTCCCTCAACCCTGAATGGGCTTCACATACTGCAAGCAGAAAGCAATCCATCCTACCAACAAACACCAAGTCTATGCAGTTTCCCCTATATTTTGGTTTGAAGAGAAGAATATGAAGTTGCCTACATATTTTTAAATGAAGAGAAAGGAATATTATCTTAAAGTGTTAGAAGAAGAGTATGTATCCAGAAATCATTGACTACAGAAGCTAGAAGTACATATTAGTATGTTCTCATGCTGCTATGAAGCAATACCTGAGAACGGGTAATTTATAAAGAAAAGAGGTTTAATGGACTCACAGTTCTGCATGGCTGGGGAGGCCTCAGAAAACTTAGAATCACGGCGGAAGGCACCTCTTCACAGGGCAGCAAGAGAGAGAAATGAGTGCCAATCAAAGAGGGGAAGCCCCTTACAAAACCATCAGCTCTCGTGAGAACTTACTATCAGGAAACCAGCATGGGGGAAACCGCTCCCATCATTTAATTAACTCCACCTGGTTCCACCTTTAACATGTGGAGATTATTACAATTCAAGGTGAGATTTGGGTGAAGACACAGAGCCAAACCATATCAAAGTTATTTTTAAGTTGCTTCCCTCAGCAGGATTAAAGAAGATATGGTCTTTGTAAAGGAGTAAAATGACACAGAAAGAGATAGACTGAAGTGAAAAGATGACAGAATATGATTCTATTATATTATACGTGTGTATGTATTATACAGAATATAATTCTATTATATATTATATAATTCTATATAGAATTATATATAATTATAGATATAGAATTATATCTATAATTTTATATATAGAATTATAATTATATTTAGAATTATAATTCTATTATATATTATATTATTAAAATTATATATTATAATTATTATAATATATAATTATATATTATAATTATTCTATAATATCTATTATATATTATAATATATAATTATATATTATAATTATTCTATATCTATTATATATTATAATATATAATTATAATTATATATAATTCTATATAATTATAATTATATATTATAATTATAATTCTATTATATATAATATATAATTCTATTATATATAATATATAATTCTATTATATATTATATAAAATACAGAATATAATTCTATTATATTATAAATATTATATTATACGTGTGTATGTAAGTATATTATACATATGTATATAAGATATAATCTATCTTGTTTATTTCACAAAACTAGTAAAAGGCATTCTGGGAAAGAGGAAAAAGGCATATAATATGCAGCACATATTACACATTTTCTATTTTGAAGAATTTAAATATTTTGACTTAAGAAGAAAAAGTCATTGAACATCCATCTGCACAATATCTAAATTATCATAAATTCTTGGTAAATGTCTGTTTAAAGGTTGATTAAATTAATTGCAATGTCCTATGACAGAATAAGAGGGAAACTGTTTGAAATGTATATTAAAACTATAATACTAACTTAATCCGTAGCACTGAAGGGACCACATTTAATTATCTCTCTATTTTGAAAAATGCTTATTTTCCAACTGATGAGGTAAATGGATCTTCAATTCCTATTCAATTATGTCTTGATCTCAGTTAGGCTTTCTGGCCTTAGAGCCAAGTAACTTCCAAAAGGTCCTCATTAAACCGAATCATTACCCTGCAGGTGAGAGGCTCCTTTCAGGTCTAGCCATCCTTATGAGTACGGGACTTCTGTTAAATACTCAGACCAGCCATACAAAAAGCTTTAAGGATCTCGTTTAAAGTAGGGACACACAAAATGTCCTTCTTTACTCCAGGTAACTGCCAGTATTTGATATTAGGATATGTTTGACCAATCATTGGTCCAGTTGTTCATCATGTCATCCTGAATACTTGGTGAAAAGAGGGGGGAAGTTTGATAAAGGTTCGCAAATTGATGCTGATTATAGAGCAGTTAGAGAGCTTGTTTTATTGATCCTAACAGATAGAGACATTTTATGCAGCTGGATCTGCTGAGAACCATGATGAACACAGATACCAGGAAAGGCTAACCATTCCATCAACCTTCTACTCCCACACAAGGAAGCTCAAGGAAGTCATGGGGAGTTAAGAGGTATTGTGGCTGCATACTCCCTCATGAACTCATCCCTGCGATGCTGTGGGTGGACCTCAGGGCCATCTTTAAATAGATGTGTGAAGTTATTTCTTTCTCTGTGTCCCTCTTCCTTCTTCAACACTATTTTTCACCTCATAGTGGTTTCACTGGGAGGGAAGGGCAGGTTCTGTGTCTTGGAAGGGAAACCAATTAATAAATATATAAAATTATGCCTAACAAGAAATGTACATATAGTTTGAAACAAAAATTGAGTAGTAGCATTTAATAGAAGATGAATTGTTCATTATTAAATGAATATTTAAGCTAAAGTGTAAAGATTTCTGATGAAGTACTTCAGGCCAGAGTAGTCTAGAATGGTTTAAACTGCTGAATGGTTTAAATGAAAAATAATTTAAAGGATAGGAGGGAATATAGGAGTTACAAAAAAAGAGCAGAAGGGCTGCATATTTCAATTAGGTGAAATTGATTAGATGAAATCCTTAATCTTGGAAGATTTAATCCTGGGTGATTTAAGACAAATGTATCCTAGATATAATATTTAACTTTTCTGTAAATGGCTAATGAAGTTCAGCTGTTAATCTACCTTTCCCTACATGCCCTCCTTTCAAATGAAGTTTGGGCATATACATGTTTTTATCTGTCTTTTTTCTCTATATAGTGAAATTTACCCCATTAATAATCCCTGAGATGTTTCCTCATTATGATGGAGTCGGCGGTATGGTTGATGTAAATAGTATTTCAACTTGAATTTCAGGGAACTATGACAGTTTCCATTATTATTGTCTCTTATAGTGCGATCTATCTATGAAAAAATTATATATTTTACCATGTTCCCAGTGCGACAAAGGAGTACTCCAAAGGTTTACAGCATATATAGTGTTTGCCTATTTTTATTTCCATCATGAATAAAAATACAATATTAATTATCATATTCTCTCTTGATGTATCACAAAAATAACATCTTTCACATTCTTTTTTCTCTTCAAAGGCATAAGCAGTCTGCAGGCTCCTTATTTTGCCAAAATGGCCCAGAGTCTAAATTCTAGAAAGCACCGTAAAGTCAGTATAGTAATATCACCATAAGCATATGTATAATCTATGTGGATTATATTTTATAGAGTTTCTAAGTCACGGTTCCTTTCTCTCTTATTACATATATCCTTTCTTCATGGGAATGTAAGGATTGAGAGACAATATCTGTTGGGTGTTGTCTGGCTCTCAGTTTTGCTTTCTTAATATTTGCAATGGAGTAGTATTGAAAATGATAAGCAGGAGTGTCACGATGTGATCTGTGCTTTGAAACTACTACAGGTATGTCAAAATTAGGAAGGATTGAAAGAATGGATACCTGGATAAGAAATTGCATTGTTGAAGCTAATTCATTCATTTTATTAAAAGGTAATCAGAACTTGGATATGGTGACCATGGGAAAAGACAATTACATATGTAAGGGAGTTTGGGAGGGAGGTGACAAGTAATCAGATATAGGGAAGAAAATGAAAGTTTTAAAAAATTCAGTTTTTGAGACAGAAAAACTACAGTATAATGCTGCTATTAATATGAAAAAGGAGGCTATCAGGATGGACTGTGGTTTGCTGGTTTTTTTGTGCTGATGGGACATTTTTGAGGACATACATGATTCAGAGGGAGGAATATAGAGGACCTGCCTCTGTTTTAGGCATAATCAGTTCCCTATGCTTGCTATTGATGCCCTTGAATTATAGGGTGTTTTACATGATTCTGTATCATTTTCTGGTTATGAAATTGTACTCAAAACAAATTTTCTCCATGTATACTCACTCCCCAATTCTGTGACAGAGTTTACAGCGGTCAGAACCACCTCAGGTGCCGCTGCAGTTAGCAGCAACGTGTGCAGAGTCCCCTTGCTTCCCGGGATGCAATGTCCCACTTGTGATGTCCCCATCCCACTTCACTTCCTCATTTTTGTCATCTCTGAATGAAATTCGGAAGAAAGTTTTATTTAGGGTGGAGAAATCACTCTGGCTACTTCAGAATATCAGCATCCACCAGGTGAATGCCTGTCTAGTTGTACGGTTTATACAGATCGAGCATTTCTGAAGTGGGGGTCAGTAGACGAAATACACAAAATGTTTTTCCTTTTACTAACAGGTGTCTATGCCAGCTGGGTCTCTTTCTGGTAGCAACATCCTGATGATCCCCATTTGTTTTTATAAATCTAATCTCATCTGCTTTATAGGTAATAACATTCCCTCCATACAATGGATTCAAAGTCAGTACTAGTTCTGGATCTCATTATAAGTTTCAAATTGTTTCTTAGGTACTTCATAAACACTTTTTGGGAAGTTGGGAGATTGTCAGTCAGGAAATTTAAAATGGCAATGGCATCTGGAGGAGACAGGAGAAAGGATTTGTTAAAAAAAAAAAGTAGGACTTGGCTTATGTAAATGGTAGTTCTAAACATTTGTCATCAGATTTAAGAAATCCATTTTTAAATATGTTATTATAGTTGTTGGGAATAATGCTCATTTCCCTGTTTTAGGACTCAAGTGAGAAAGTGCAGACTTTAATACCATCAAGACACATTTATTTCTTCAGGTATGGTTCTTTCTTTTTGAGAAGATCTATGTAAATGTTGTGTTTTCTTGTGTATCTTGGTTGCCATAAAGTATAGAGTTGAATATTACATCAAATTATAGCCTGTGTGTTAATGCTGACAATCAATATGTATTCTTTCTTCTTTCCTTTCTTCTTGATTTGTCTTTCTGTGACAGTTATATTACGATATTTTGTGGTAAATGATAACACTTAAAGAAGCAGGGTTTAAATATACCAAACAATGCAGATATTATCTCACCTGCCCTTGTAGTCAAGACTAGGAGTGGGAGTAGCTCCTGCAAGGAACTCGTGCATATGAGTCCAATATTAAATTACAAAATGTCCTGAGCTCATCCTTCATTTTAGATCCTTGAGTTTAGCTCCAAGAAATCTTTCTAATTCTGTTTTTAGCTCAATTTTTCAACTGAAAAATCTTGATGGCTTTTTTTTAAAGGTAGGTAACTATTTTCTCTTTGTGCCTAATTATACATAATTACCTGAACAATGGCATATCTTACAAAGCTTACATTAACATGAATTGAGAAATTATAACCATGAAGTTACAAATGACTCTGAAAAAATATTTGATTCAATTAATTATCAACATCAAAATTAAAAGGTAAGTGAGTATATGGCAATGATTCTACTGAATAACAGATTAAATGAGTTTTAGAATCAATAATATTAATCAATATTTGAAATGAAAAGAGAATGCATAATGCATTATTCCATAATTATCATTCAGTCAACCAATTCAATATTGCCCTACAGAGAATTGTACCCTTCCTTTGACATTTTTAAAGTTAAATATTGCCCATTTGGAATAAATGTGATTTAGGTAACCTTTCATGGAACACAGATACATAGGATGCTATAAATGTCAAGGAAAAGAAATAAACCTTTGTTTCTTTACCCAGACATAACAAAAATAAAGCTATTATTGGTATGCATTAAATAGTCATCGAGAAATCTGCTTATCTTCAAAATCACCGACTGAGAATATCATCATTAAGAAAGGTAATAAAAGTGGAAATTACAATGAACCAGTATTAGTGAAGATCATATCCAGAGAGGGCAGAAACATCATGTTAATCATCTCTGTATTCCCGACAGTGTCTTGCATAGTATCTTGAAAATTCTGGGCATATAATAAATGTGTTTTAAATGAATGGCATTTTGAGTTATTTAATTGCAGGTATTCTCGTTTTTTTCATAGAACATATTTCACTGGTAAGTTTCATGATCACGATGTAATACCCAATTTACAGGGAATGGCAAATGAAAAAAAAAATGCCTGACTCAGTTTCCTGATGCTATTTTAATCAGAAACTAGTTAGCTCACATGAATTATTCCAAGCTCGAAACTTCTTATTTGGTTTCTTAAATATATAAGGTAATTTACATGACATATACCACATGTATATTTGGAGAAGGCAGAAATGAAATTATTACAGAGGTATTTCACGATCCTCATAACAAAGCTGAACCAACTACATGATTTAAGTCCCACTGAAACACTGTACCTATAAACTGAATTTACCAGTTAGGAGTAAGTAAACTGACCTCTGTACCATTTGGTTAACCAACAGATTCTAGTCTATTACAGGTAGCTTCACTTTTTGGTCTTTTGTGTAGCTGACACTGAATGGTGTCACAGCACTGTTTTGATTTCCTTGCAGGCATTTGTTCTCCTCATGTTTCCATAACATTTTCTTTTCAGGAGAGGAGTTTTAAGATGGCCAACTAGAGGCAGCCAGGAAGGGCCGCTACCACCTCTAAACCACTGTAATTTAAAAAGATCTTCAGAGAGAAAATACCGAATGTGGATGAAGAAAACACGCAGATGCTAAGGCTGAAGCAAGAGGAGGCTGGAAGCCCTGTGGGAGGTGCCTGAATGCTAAAGCTGATTCCGGGCCTCAAATGGCTCCTGAGGAAGGGGTGAGTGAAGAGCCTGGGGGACAGCCCACGCTCATGCAGACTTCTGGGATCCTAGCTGCAGGGAACCCCAAAACCCCAATGGATGTTTGAGCTGGCAGGGGCATCTCCTGGGAGATTTGATAGAGGCGGGGATTCAGCAGACATGGAGCTGGGGACATTTGTGTGTGGAACAGATCTGACAGAGCCCAGCTATAGGCACCCGTCTCTCAGGGCTCTCCATCTCCCTCTGAGAGGCCCTGGCCCCAGAAAACTCCTGGACTGGGAGAAAGCAGGGCGAGCTTCCCCACGGCACTGAGGCACATCTGTCCCGCAGCCCCGCCTGCCTGTCAGCCCCTCCCAGGGCTCCTGCCTGGCTGCCCCGCAGCAGCACATGCACAGTGAAGCGTCTGCTGCCCAGCCTGGGTGCTGTGTTCCACTGGAGTGTGTTCTGGCAGCCTGCGGCCCCTTAGATCCCCAGCACACCCAGAACCCAACCCAACCCAGTCCAGAGGAGGGAGCCGTGAGCAGGTTCTGGCACTGCAGGGTTGGATCCTATGGCTCAGGAGTGCTGAGCTGGTACCTGTGCTCGGAACTTGAGTAGGAGAGGAGCCCACACTCAGAAGGGTGAGATGCACAGGTTCACAGGCTGGTGTGGCACCTGGAATGCCTCCTTCCACAGAGCTGGCCCAGTAAGGGCGTGGTCTATCCCCCTGCCCAACACCTGCCCCAGGGAAGCCCACAGCCAGAAACATCAAACAAACAAACAAACAAACAAAGCCACGGCACAGTGCCGGTGATCAGCAGTGGCTTCCGAAGGCCTATTAGTGGAACTGGTGAGGGGGTTACCCCTCTCCCCCTCACACTTCAGAGCACAGCTGCACACGCGAGGATACACAGTCCCCAGCGCTGAGTATCCATCTACCACCCATAGCTCTAAAGCACCATCTACGGATTGCACCCCAAACTACACCACCACAAAACCATTCACCCGCCTTGGAAGCCAAGGACAAGAATTCAACAGCAAACAAAAACCCCTGCACAGAGTCTTGTGTGGCCTTCTGAAAATGTCCAGAAATGAAGTCAACTGACTATACTCAATTTCTGCCACAGTTAAAGGACCAGAGACCCACCAAGATGAGAAAGAATCAGCACAGGAACTCTGGAAATTCAAGAAGCCAGAGTGCCTCCTTACCCCCAAACGAGCCCACTACCTCCTCAGCAATGGTTCTTAAGCAATCTTAAATAACTATTAATAAAATGACAGACAGATGAAATTCAGAATCTGGAGAGCAAGAAAGCACATCAAGATCCAGGGAAACGTTGAAATTCAATTCAAGGAAACCAAGCAATCCAGTAATATCATTTAAGAGCTGAAAGGCAAAATAGAAATTTTAAGAAAGACCCAAACTTTATTACTGATTCAGTTTTAGAAGTTGATATTGGTCTATCCAGGGTTTGAATTTCTTCCTGGTTCAGTCTTGGCAGATTGTGGGCTTCCAAGAATTTATCCATTCCTCTAGATTTCCCTCCCTCCCTCCCTCCCTTCCTTCTTTCCTTCCTTCCTTCCTTCCCTCCTTCCTTAATGAAATTGTGTCCTTTACAGAAATATGGATGGAGCTGGAGGCCATTATCCTAAGAAAATTAACACAGGAAAAGAAAACCAAATACCGCGTGTTCTCACTTATAAGTAAGAGCTAAACATTGGACACACATGAACATATAAACATGGGAACAGTAGACACTGCAGAGTACTAGAGAGGGGAAAGAGGGAGGGCGTTGATTGAAAAACTACCTATTGGGTACAATGCTCACTACCTAGGTGACAGGATCCATACTGCAATCCTCAGCATCATGCAATATTTCCATTTAACAAACCTGTGCTTGTACCTGCTGTATCTAAATTAAATGTTGAAATATTTATAAATTTTTTTAACTTGAAGCTAGAACTTCGCATTTAGGCAAAGTTCTGTGATTCAATAATAAAGACTTTACCACCTCAGATCTATTAGTTTTCTTAAGCCAAGATGCTTTCATTAGAGTCGTATAGATAAATGGAAAATGTAGTGTTTGGAGCCCAATTTACAGATATATACAGAAGAGTAACACATATATTTTTATTTTATTAGTGTTCATGAGTATTATATATTTAGTGGAGTTATTTGAAAGGGTGAAAATGCCACTTGAACGAAGTGCTTTGCATTGTTTAATCTGAGATTGATATACTCATTTGGTCTTATAAAGGCACTGATTTATCTTATTGATGGTATAGCCTATTCTATATTCTATATGTCATATATGATACAGAATGCTGACTATACTTTTGCTTTTTCCATTGCTGGAGTCAATATTTATAGAAGAGCTTTAGGAAAGGGAATAAACTAAACTTCTAGCTTATTATTTGTTTGCAGTAGTCTGTTGGAAAGATGAAAAGTGTATTAAAATTAATTTCTCAATAACAATTAGGGAAAAGATACTTCTAAAACTTAACTTTAAGTATAGAACATGTATAAATTTAATTTTCCTAATATGATAGCAATGGAAAAAGTAACTTCAATATAATGGAAATGGAATTCCAATATAATCTATTAAAATATTTTAAATCTTCACGAGTTTTGTTCTTTTGGAGTTAGAGCCTGAAAATGCTCAGATGTTTTAGAAAGAAAGTGAAATCAAACCTAACCTTTATCAGATGGGAATATTATGAAGATTATAAATATTTATATTCCAGAAGCAATTTAGGAAAAAAGTAGGCAATTAGTAACTTTTTAATGTCTGAATTAATTAGGAGAAAATCCATATTTACTATAGCAACTGCTTCCATTTGAAAATCTCTGACATACCAAGCTCTTAAAATAACATCAGTAATTCCCAAATATCATTTTAAATGTCTACATTGACAAGACCCATCACTGGAAACATATCTTTGAATTGAGTTTTATACATATATTTTATATACACAAATTTTCAAGTGACATGCATATGTAATGTCAAATGTAGACATTAATATATATGTATTTATATATCTATTATATGTATAAATATATGCATGACATTAGATATAGAAATACATTATGTCTAATGTCATAGATATATTTATACATATATGTGTCATATATATGTATAAATATATATATGTTTATATACATTTTATATATACATATGTAAACACACATATACATATATGTATATATATGCATGTAAATTTATACATATACTATATACATATATGTATATATACACATATAATGTAAATATATTTTTAAAAAGATATTTGAAATACAACTTTATTCTGATTCTAAATGAAAAGGAGTAGAAATGGCAGTAACAAGATCTCACCCCTGAATTCACTAATGTGATTGCAGCAGTCTTACATTTGAAACTCAAGAAGGAATCAACTGCATTCCAAAACAGCTCAATATGCAGGTCCAAACAATGAAGGTATTTTTCAAACTGCCACATTCACTCCGAAGCCCACTCATCTCCTTCAGCATCCCACAGATGAACCACATGCCCCACCTAGCTAGATAATAATAAGGTGGCCCATACCCTGCTCCGCTGATATCACAGGACAGCTGCATATAAAACTAGACTTCTGATGCTGGGCTCCAGCTTCATTCTCACAGGTCATCATCGTCATCTGGGAGAGCAGTTGTCTGAAGAACCTCTAAGTCATGCTTATAATGCTCTGTCAAAGCTGGGTCCATGGCAACCTCCAGTGGGGCAGGGGCAGGCATGGCAACAAACTCCAAGTTAGGGTCTCCAATGAGCTTCCTAGCAAGCCAGAGGAAGGGCTTTTCAAAGTTGTAGTAACGTTTGGCAGAAATGTCTTAGTACTGAACATTCTTCTTTCGGCAGAAACAGTCAGTGTTATAATAGCACCATCTTGTCAAGAAGTTTACAGTGATTATAAACGTTAAAGAAAAATCAACTCCATTATCAAAATTGACCAGTTAATATTAAAGGGAGCATCTTTCTGGGAATCCTGGCAAAGAACATGAAGATCCTTGCATGTGAGAGCATAATAGATACAGGAATAACAAGAATCAATGATATTAACCATTCATGTAGATGTCAAAGCTGCATGGATGAGCATGGTTGAGAAAGGAAAATGTCAGTTTCCATCCGATTTTTGTCAGGGTTGTTCAGAGGAAAAGAGATTAAAAAAACAAAGCAGCCTTACAGTGATGGGGTAATTCTAGATATAACAAAACTACTACTGGGTTTGTTTAAAAACTGGGCAAACAATTTTACTTTCAGATTTTGTTTTATTTTATTATCTTAATGTCAGGCCTCTGAGCCCAAGCTAAGCCATCATATCCCCTGTGACCTGCATGTACACATCCAGATGGCCGTTCCTGTCTTAATTGATGACATTGTCTTGTGAAATTCCTACTTCTGGCTCATCCTGGCTCAAAAGCTCCCCTACTGAGTACCTTGTGACCCCCACTCTGCCCACCAGAGAAACCCCCCTTTGACTGTAATTTTCCTTTACCTACCCAAATCCTATAAAATGGCCCCACCCCTATCTCCCTTCACTAACTCTCTTTTCAGACTCAGCCCGCCTGCACCCAGGTGAAATAAACAGCTTTATTGCTCACACAAAGCCTGTTTGGTGGTCTCTTCACACGGACGCACAAGAAACTTAACATTTTTTATTTCCACAGGTTTTTGGGGAACAGCTGGTATTTGGTACATGAGTAAGTTCTTTCGTGGTGATTTGTGAGATTTTGGTGCACCCATCACCCGAGCGGTATACACTGAACTCAATTTGTAGTCTTTGATCCCTCACCCGCCTCCCATCCTTCCTCCGGAGTCCCCAAAGTCCATTGTATCATTCTTATGCCTTTGTATCCTCATAGCTTAGCTCCAACTTATGAGTGAGAACATATGATGTTTGGTTTTCCATTCCTTGTATACTTCACTTAGAATAATAGTCTCCAGTTCCATTCAGATAGCTGTGAGTGCCATTAATTAATTCCTTTTCATGGTTGAGTGTATATTCCATACCTATCTATCTATCTATCTATCTCATAATTTCTTTACACACTCATTGATTGATGGTCATTTGGGCTGGTTCCATATTTTTGCAACTGTGAATTTTGTTGCTATAAACTTTTGTGTCCAAGTATCTTTTTCATGTAATGACTTCTTTTCCTCTGGGTAGATACCCAGTAGTAGGACTGCTGGATCAAAGGGTAGTTCTACTTTTAGTTCTTTAAAGAATCTCCACACTGTTTTCCATAGTGGTTGTACTAGTTTACATTCCCACCAGCAGTGTAGAAGCGTTCCCTTTTCACCACATCCATGTCAACATCTATTATTTTTGGATTTTTTTAAACAGCATGGTACTGGTATAAAATAGGCATGCAGACCAGTGGAACAAAACAGAGAACTCAGAAATAAACCCAAATGCTTAAAGCCAACTGATCTTCAACAAAGCAAACAAAAACATCAAGTTGGGAAAGGACACCCTATTCAACAAATGGTGCTGGATAACTGGCAAGCCACATACAGAAGAATGAAACTGAACCTTATACAAAAATCGATCCAAGATGGATCAAGGACTTAAATCTAAAACCTGCAACTATAAAAATTCTATAAGATAACATCAGAAAAACCCTTCCAGACATTGGCTTAGGCACAGATTTCATGGCCAAGAACCCAAAAGCAAATGCAACAGAAACAAAGATAAATAGATGGGACTTATCTGCACAGCAAAGGGAACAGTCAGCAGAGTAAACAGACAACCCACAGACTGGGAGAAAATCTTCACAATCTATACATCTGACAAAGGACTAATATCCAGACTTTACAAGGAAGTCAAACAAATTAGCCAGAAAAAAAAACCAACAATCCCATCAAAAAGTAGAATAAGGACATGAAGAGACAATTCTCAAAAGAAAATATACAAATGGCCAACAAATATGTGAAAAAATGCTCAATGTCACTAATGATCAGGGAAGTACAAATCAAAACCACAATGCAATACCCCCTTACTCCTGCAAGAATGGCCATAAAGAAAAAAAAATCAAAAAATACTTTGGATTTTAAATCCCACTGTTTTGATAAAAGGATGTTGGACTTAACCAGTACTTTTTAAATAGGGATCTATATCAGGATCTCTTGTTCAAGCTTTCAAATAATATGTAGATTGATATTCCAACTCAATAGATTTCCTTGAAACAACTAAGTCAAGTAATTGTCTTATAAGATTCAGTCATTCTTTGACAAGTGTTTCAGGTAATGAAATTAAGTGTATAAAGAAATTATTTTCCCATCAAAAGAAATGAAAATGATTTCTAAAACATCAAATTTTCTTCTCAAGCATTGGGTCTCATTTGAAATCTTTAAAGTAGCAGAAGAGATCCAGCCTGGAGCATTAAAACACAACAAAAATCACAGAGGGGACAATTGTAGCCAGTTGATGTGGTCGCCCCTCAATTTGAAAAGCGCATATTTAGAATCTGCAACAAGGGGAAGGGAATAAAGTTTAAACTGAGAAAAACTAACCTCTTAATCCCTCTTGACTTCCACAGTCTAATATTTAAAATGAAGAGTGTTACCTAAGCAACCTTAAATTTCGCTTACAATTCTAAAAATCCATGAGACCTAAATATTGCATTTATTTAAATGTATTCCTCCTTATGTTAACTATCTCTTATGGTTCACAGTGTACTCCATAAATATGTACAATTGTTATGTGTCAATTAAAAATAAAACATAAAAAGAATAAATGCAATAATTATTTTAGTACTTTTTAAAAAATAAAAGCACATCTGAATGGGAACCATGTGCTTTCTATAAGTCTTTTCAAGTCCTGCTTGGCGCAGAGCCTAACTACTTGGTTTATGCATTGTAAGACAAGTCACCATTTACCTGGAGGCAGCTGCAGGCATGATGTCTCACAATGAATAAGCAGCCTCTATTGGGTCTGCTTTATAAACTCAGTCCTAGTAAATAATGTCAACTGTCACACCTGGCTTTCAAAATATAAGAAATAGTTACAAACAGTTCCCTTTGTTTCTTAACTTACCAAAATAGGAGAATGAAATAACGTTCTTTCAATTATGTTTTTGCTTTTTCCACATGAGTATGCCAGGATCACTTGAGAATAAAGTCTTCCATTTATCTGTGGAACAGTTCAGGCATAAACACCTGTCACGTAAGTCTCTGCTACCAAAAAAGTCAATATGTATCTCTCTAGTTGTGGAGGGATTTATGGTAGAACAGATTTTCATTTTCTCCTTGAATTTTGCTTTATCCTGAGTTTTCGAATGAATCTCATTTTTTTGTAAATTCAATCTTATACAAGTGAATGTCTGATGCTGGGAAAAACTAAGATGATTTTGTTCAAAAACAGAAAATGTAGAAAATGGGAAAAGGGGGTGTGAGCCATCTACTCTGTTCTTCCATTTGAGATGTCCAATTTACAAATCCCAGAACTCATGAATTTCATTGATATGGTACATACTTATTTATAGAAATTTCTTCACACCTAACTTGTGAGCTCTCTTCTAGATACCATAGAGGATGTCACACATTGCCTGACTTAAAGTTAAATTTTAATTGGAATAATAAGATAGCCATATAAAAATTGCATGGCAAAATAAGACCTAAAGAATTTTATGTCAGAATAATAAAGAGGATTTCCTAAGGTTGTAGTTGTTCCCAAACCATAGGAGATAGGAGATTAAGGAACCATTTAGAAGGAGAAATTGGGTAAGTAACTTGAAGAAAAGAATAATAAAACTCATTAAAGTAGTTATAAATATTTTAAATTCACTGAAACAATTAAAAATAGCATACTAAAAAGATATGCCACATCTTTTAAGTTACTAGTAATTGGTGCTGTGTTATTATTTATTTCTGTTTAATAGACTGGTTTCCAATTTTTCAGACCTTTTAAGGAGATAACAGTTAAGATATTGTTGTTGTTCTTCTTTTATGCACAGCCTAGCCATCCATTCCTTTCTGAGTTTTCTGACATGAGACTCATTGTCCTCTGTCTTCTGGTTCTTGCCACCATCAACTACACTGAGACTCTCCTTAACTTTCTGTGTTCTTGCAGATATAACAGCCTGGGATGTGATGCTTCTACAGCCTGAATTTCATTTCCCTGGCTTTCCTTCACCCTTTCCTAGTTTTCATGACAGAGGCTCACACTTGTGAGATTTGGCCTAGGGCACTGCATGTTTATCATCGCCACGAGAAGAGCACTCCTGGAGAAGCTGCTGGTCCAGGATGAAGTGCACATGGAGCAGACATGAACACAACCCCAGCCGACGTGAAAACCCAAGAGCGAGAAGCAAAGCTCCATTGCTAGAAGTCACTGTGCATGTGTAACATGATTGCTGAGAAACATTATTAATATATATACTTAAGTAAGAGAGTGGGTGGCTCTTCTTTTCCTAAATGTCAGACATGTTTTTATGCTTACTTAGTTCAGCTGACATACATTAGCCAAAATTACCGATGCTTATGCTTCTAGATGTGCTGAAACTGAGTAATGCTTTGAGGGTGCTGGTTAACTACTACAACAGCTCCCAAACCTAACATGCTATCCAACCTAAATTCTGTGGTTTGATTTCTGGGTGGGAACAAAGAAAATAAAGTGGGCAGTAAATACTGTGTAAAAGGACTATTATAAACAAATATTTTCAGCATAATTAGATCCACAGAAGACATTTTCAATTTCTAAGTTAATACCTGTCTACACCCATGTGCAACACATGGAGGAATGCTGAATTGCCTTTGCCATTAATGATGGATTGACTAATTATTAACAGATCAGAGGGAAGAACAACTATTAGCTTATGAAAACAGTCTTTTTTTAATTTTGTACTGTACAACATTATTCATAATAATAGTTAAAAGACAAATTGCTATTTTTCTTTTACTAAATGTGCTCTGCAGATAACCTAAAGATTAAATTTTAAGCAGTGATATATGGAGTCACATAAACACTAAGCTAAATAAGAATACTGGTGGACCATTTAGTAGACCATCTATAAATGGGTGTTCCCACATGTCCCAGAGTTGAATATTGATAAATCTTTAGTACTGAGAGATAGAATATTTGTGAGTGTGCAAAAAGTGAGTTGAGGGATTGCCCAGGATGCCTTTTGCCTTAAGGGTACAAGACACTGGGTATGGTTTTTGTTGTTGATCTGTTTAAGAGTAAAGATTCCATTCATAGCATAGGCCTTGGTAGCATATAGGAGGCAATATGCAATTTCAAGGCCTTGAAGAAGTATTATGATAAAATATCCACCCTTTCTGTGCTCTCCTTTTGTTCTGGAACAGAAAGGAGGTCAAAGCATATTGGTCATAAAAATGGAAACAGCATTAGAGTTCCTGGAATGAATGCTCATCACATAAACTTGTAAGGTTCTCCTGGGATAAAATCTATACCATCACAGGTAAGAAAGGACATGCTAGAATGGATAGATTCACAGGAAAATATTTCAATTTTGAGTGAAGCAAAATTAACCTCTTCAAACTGTGAACAGAGGTTCTAGTAAAGAGATTAGCAGATACTTCAGTGAAGATGCCAGCGTACCCTATGAGAGAGAGAATACTGAATGATGAGTCAGCTCTTTTCTTTTAAGTTGGAATCAAAGCAAGAGAACTTGTACCAAGACAGTCAGCAAAATCCTTCTTAGGGAAAACCACTGGGTGGATCCCCACATACATTCAGCATATTGGTATTGAGTTCCTGCTGAGTGCCAGCCAGTATACTTGGCTCCAAGTATATAGTTATAAACAGATACATATTCCTTAATTACACATAAACATATCTATATGTTAATATACACATATGTGCTCAAAAGATAGGCCAGCTGAACAACAGTACCCAGGATATAAAACAGCCTCACAGGAGGAGGCTCACTTATCCTTATCCCACATTCTCCAAATTATGGTTATAGCAAATCTGAGTTGCGCTATGCAACTGGTACTTCATATATTGCATGTCTTAAGCAGAATTCATCATCCCCATAGAGATTTCTTTTTCTATACTTTGTATCTCTAATATTATCATCAACATCACTTACCAAGTTACCCAAGTCTTAAACTAGGGAGACCTCATTATCTCCTCTTTACTTGCTTACCCACCCCTTGCAACTGGTCACTACGTTCTTTCACACTTACCTGTTCACTGTCTCTTGAATGTCCCTTTCTGGCCATGTCTAATGTCGCAGCTAAAAATCTAAGTTATTTCCAAAATATTTCAATAGTTTCCCAGTACTTTTAGGAAATAATCCAAATTTATTTAGTAAGCAAGAAAAAGTCTTTAGGATCAGCCTCTCTAGTTACTCAGCAGATTCATTGCTTCTTTCTTCTCTTAGGCTTCTGAGTATGAAATTATCTCTGTGCATTTGAGCATTCTGTGTCTATTGATGGCATTACTTTTCATCTTTAATTCCTTTATGCCTCTGCATATTTTAGCTTAAATATTACATCCTCAACAACAATAAAAATAAGTAAACAATCTCCCCTTTAAGATTTAGTTGCCTCTAAATGCATACATATGCAGACAGTACTTAACACATCATATTACAATTTTATATCTTGTTTATTAAATGCTGAACTCTATTAGGGTTTGAAATATCTAAATTTCCTATAATGGGCATATTGTATGCAATAAAGCTGCTAGTGTTTAATAAACATATGCTTAATTAATAAAAGGAGGGGGTTGTAATTAAAATAAACCTATAATAATAAAAAATAAAATCTTGACAGTGACAGAGGCACCTAGCAATCTGGTTTGTAATCTGGATAAAACTTCTGCAATTATAAACTCCCAGCAACATTATTATCCTCTGAGCCAGAGGTTAACTGGGGCATTTTATTCCATATTTCCATAATTTGATAAACAAATTTGGTTCCTGAGAATATGAACATAAATGAAATAAATGGCCTGGATATAATAATTGATAAGCATCCACTAACATCACGTATGGTTCTGTATATTGAATATTTATTTTTACATCAACTGAAATTATCCTGGAAACACTTCCTAGTTTTATGATAGCATTTAAGAAAACAGCTATCTCGCTTTGCAATTGCTTGTGATATTGACAAACCAATTTGTCAGTCACAGTGGTTCAGTGGCTGCATAGTTAAAAATAATATTAAACTTATCCAAGCAAACCTTTTATGTTTCTAGGTTCTTACCAATTATATTTTCTCAACCAGGTAACCAAAACCATTGGATAATTTATGTCACTTCTGTTTTGCAACTTTTGTACCAAAAAAAAACTTTGATTCATATCATATAAAAAAGTATGATTCATAGAGAAGTAATAGATATACCAATTTCTTAATTAAGGTTTCTGCACTTTATTTGAAGATTTATCAGTTTCGGAGGCAGTGATATGCCCTCCTCACATATTGTGAGTTGGTAGGCGTGACCATAGGGTTAGATGACTCAAAATGATGACAGTCTATTAGATACATCATTAATTGGAATTTATTTGTACACCTGGGTAAGTCATATTACATAAGAGAATTCATAAGTATGGAAAAATTATTTGTAGACCATGCAGTGATTCTGGCCTTCAGAACATATGGTTGACTAAAACGAGATGAGACTACTTTACCTTGTTCCGCATATTTAAAATATTAATATGAAGACTGATGCATTTAATCTGTGTTTAAAAATGAATAGAGTTGGTTATATGTTTTAAAAAGTTATTTCTTAAAAGATTGCATCCAAATCAAACAATATCTGAACATCAAAGATAAATAGGTATATCTGACTTTCCAAATACATGATTCACCTAATTTTATTTTAGTTCAACTCTAATCTCAGGTGTAGATATGTTAATAATGCATATTATCTTTTAAAAATTAAAAACATAAAAGTTAAGAATGCCAGAATAATCGTATTTCTGAAATGCAAATTCGATCATATGATTCTCTTACCTATATACTTCTAATAGATCTCGATAGAATAAAATCTGAATCCCCTAAAAGATACACATGACTTCCCAATTTGAATTCATGTAAGCCCTTTCTGCTCTTTTTCCTTATGGCCCACATGCTTCAGAAACCTCTAAAATTGCCCGAAGATGTTGTGCAGTTTCATACCTTGTCAATGCTGTTCCCTTTGCCTGTTTAGACTGACTCATCCTCTTGCCCAAATCAAGAACCCTGACCTTTCCCTTATGTCTCAGATCAAATGTTACTTCCTCTGTCAAATAACCACTGAATCCTCAGGGAAGCAAGTTACTCTTTCCTTTATACATAAAACAACTTTTATACATCAGTTTTATGGATTTTATTACACTGTATTGTAATTTTTTGTTTGAGATCTGTTTTCTCCTTTAGAGAATAAATTCTTTCTGCTCAGGGAGCCTGTTTTATTCCTCTCCTTATCTTCTAAGTGTATTGCTTGGTGCATGGCCTCTAGTAGTTGCTCAACAAGAACGTAATTCATTCTGGCACATATAGGAAGGGAAAATGATAGAGACAGAAAACTCCATCATTCAGGTTTTGCTTTAGATTTAGGCGTTTCCAGTGCTTTTTGATATTGAAGAAAAATCACTCTGAGACACAAACACCTACATTTATTTTTCAGATGTGGTAATGCTTGCATTAAACCATCACTTGATGTCCCATTTTACTTGCAACTAATGAACAGGTTAATTGTGCTGAATCGCAGGTCAGCTGAATAAGATGGGATTTAACTTAGCAGTGTGAAAAAAGTAGTTCCTTTTCACAAATACAGTCGATATGTGTTCCTTTTGTGCATGTAATCCATGGTGCAGAATAAAGTCACTGAAGAACTATTATCATAAATAGCATTATTAGGAATGAGTTGAACTTAATTTTTTTCAGCTATCATTCAAAATGGCTTTATAAAAACATTAAAGGTGTTTTTTAAGCTTGGTGGAAACTTACTCCATTAGCAGTTCATGTAGTTATTATTAGATATTTCCATATGTCTGTTTTTAAGAGGTCCATGAAATTTTAATTTACTTGAAAACCTAAAATGTAGAGTTATTTGTTTTGACATGTTTAATCACTTTTCCATTTTAAACTAAAGATAAGAAGTCACTGGGGAAACAGGGAAACAGAAGACAATGTCAGAGTGAACTCAAAGAAACGAGAGATTTGCAAATGAAACTTCACCTTATTAAATTGTCATTTAGCTGAGTGTTTTTATTACTTCTTAAGGACATGAAAAGCATATAAATTGTTTTTGTTATTGCTGATTTAATGTGAAATTATTAAATCCCTTAAAAATCAATAAAATATCCCACTATGTCCTACTAATTGAATTACTGATAATAAAAACATCAATAAGAATATAAACCTTTGAATTAAAGTTTAATAATTTATTATATCATTTCTGATAAATATGGTACATTGGAATCTGGGTGGACTAAAAAGCATATGAAACTTATTCATACCATTTATTCATTCATTTGTTCATCCATCTAGCCAAGTGCATTAAGCACATATATCTGTGCCAGGCACTGGGCTAGGATCTTGCAAAACAATGACAAATGAGGGATGTGGAAGCCTAATTTTCAAAAAGTTTATATTAGTGCTAGAGTTAAAAAGGAAACACAGAAAAATATAATACCATTGCACAGTATTAAAATAGATGTTAAAGGAAACGAGCAGAGTTCAATAAGGGAAATAAAGGTGAGCCTTGACTACACAAGAGTGTCTTTGAGGAAGCACCTCAACCCTGGTGGATGAAAAGAAACTTGACAATTGTTCTGAAAAAGTACATTTATGGGCAGGCACTGGCCTTTGCAAAAACAGTTATATTTGTTTCCATTCAGGCTATCTTATTTGCCTCTCTTTTAAGTAGCCTCTTCCTCCTGATCACTTCTTATACAATATTCACATCAAAATTGGATCTCAGGGAAGAAGATGTGGAACTTCTTTCAGAAATATTTGCATGTCAACAGAGGTCAAAACCCCCATTATCACCATAGAAAGAAATAGTGCTCTAATGTGAATGTTTCTGGCATCATGCATTCAGTATATTTTGGGGACCTGGAGGGTGTCATGGAGAGCTTTCCCTGGTTACCAAGAAATATATGCCAATGAGGCAACAACTGAAGGTCACTCCTGCTGAGTTTCTTGAAAATATTCTGTTTTCTTGGGCTACTGTCAGGGCATCAAAAAGCCATGCCTGGAGACAAATGGAGAGTGAAGCCAGGTGAGTTTAGGCTTTCTGACCTTTCTGGATTTTTAATGAAGCAGAAATGTGGATATGGGGGTAAACAAGCACAAGTATTTTCTTTTCTTGTGATTCTCTATATAGGGTACCAGAGTTGTGTGATATCAAAGGTGACATATGCTTGCAACCATACTAGTGTGAAGGTAAAAGTAACAATCTCCTCTAGGAAGATGCCATAATTACTTTCATTTTTGGTACAGAATATGATGAGGACATACCCATGGTCAGTCCAGTTATTAAAGCTCAATGTTGGGGAAGAACTGTAAAGGTCATCTGTCCCAAATAAAAAATCTTCTCTACCATATCCTTGACAGTCCTTGACATATCCTTGTTTGCCCTCTTAGAAGAGCTGTACCTTTTCTCATTGCCTCTCAAAATTCTTTTAAGACTCAGATGAGATGACATCAATGACAGCACATTGAATGGTTTAAGGCACAGTGTGCATATGCAGGGTTTATGCAATGCAGCAAAAGCAAGAGAAGTCAGGTGAGAATTCCTAAGAGAAGGGCAAAGACCATTGTAATATATTTGACAATTTTGCATTGATTTTTCTCTGGCAAACAAAGGAAAGCCTTTGTGAGGTTTATTTAAATGTCAGAATGAGAACAAAGCATATCTTTCTGTGTTTATTCAGTACATTTCCCACATATACGGTAGGTGCTGAATTCACACAAATGATCCTAAAATCTTTTTTGGGTCATCAATTTGTGTAATACCAAAAGTGGCAATTCAACAGAGTTTTAACCTATCAATGGACCAAACACATATATGACAATTTTAGTTGAATAACAAACCATTGTCTCTCAGTTCATCACTTCTCTTATATTTTGCTTTGTGATGCTGGGTATGAGGCTCCGAAATCTACCTTTCTCCTTTACCAGCTGGCTCTGCATTACACTCTATGATACAAGTACTGGAGGAAGACTGTAAGGCGTGAGGAAAAAGTAGGGACTTGTTCCTGTTGCATTTCCTATTCTTTCCAGTGTTGCCACAAAAATGGTCCTTTAATCCATGCACCTACTAAATGGTATCAGTAGCATTTGGTTACCATTTCCAGATTTTTCCCACACTCTGAGATATATTAGCACACATGGCAGGCACCTGTACTCAGAGGTCTGATCTAAGCTCCTCAGGGTCCCTCTTCCAATTTCTTAGGGTATTAGCACAAGCTGGGCAACATCAACTTCTCAGGGGCACCTTTCCCCACTAATATATATACTACTACTACATAGGCTTAGTTTTACATAGTACATACTATGTGCTATCACCCATACAAATTGTAGAATACACCAATAGAAGCATTAACATGTTATTCATGGTAAAATACAATACATGTCATATATTATGCTTAATTGTGTACAATATTGTCTCTATGAATATTCTTTACCAATGGCTCGTCTTCCATTTATATTGGGCATTAAATCTTTAATTGTAAATAGTGCACTCTGTTAATTACATCCCTGCCAACATTCATATCAGCTATGCAGAAGTCTGGGTACCGGTTCTCTAGGGGGCCTCCTCCAAATGTCTATGTTCTAATAGTTCAAACTCTTCCCCTTTGTTCCTTCAGTAACTATGCTACCTGCTGTCTTGGTTTGTTTGGGCTACTATAACAAGATAGCATAGAGTGGGTGGCTTATAAACAACAGATACTTATTTCTCACAGTTAGGAAGGTTGAGAAGTCCAGATCAAGGCACTGGCAGGTTCAGTGTCTGGTGAGGGACCACTTCCTCGTTGATGCCTGTCTTCTCACTGTGTCCTCACATGGCAGAAGGCTCAAGGGATCTCTCTGAGCTCTCTTTTATAAGGGCACTAACATCACTCATGAGGGTTTTGTCCTCCATACCTAATCACCTTGCAAAGTCTTATCTCCAAATACTCTCACCTCCGCGGTTAGGATTTCAACATGACTTTTGGCAGGGAGCGGGAGTGGTGGGGAGAAACATTCAGACCTTCACAGCTGTGGTGCTCCAGTGTTCCTCTTGAGCCTTTTCAGTCTGCCGATGTCTTTTTAGCCATTTCTCTCTATTAAATTATCTCTGTTGAAATAACTGGGTGATTTCCACTTTCCTGACTTGCCCCTTATTAATTACAACAATATATAATGAATCGAAGACATAATCTAACTATATGTTTTTGTTTCTTTTTTTTTTCTATCAGAAACTATATCAGAGAAATATTTACCTGTACTTCAAGTATTTTAAACATTCAATGATTAGTAGTTTGAAACCTTCTTGGAGACAAGGATAGTTTTAGAAGTTGCTGATTTCAGTTCAGTATCTTTTAGGGGGTGGCAGTTTAAAACAGAACTCTCCATTTTGGTGTGCTATGTGCATTTCATTTCAATTTGTGAGAAGTGGTAATGACAGCTGCCATGCCTTTCCTGAGAAATAGGACAGACTGTCATTTTTTAGAGACTAGAGTGCACAAAATTAATATATAAAATGGAAGATGATTTAAAAGTCAGCAAGTATTATCTATCAGTGTCTACAATTGTTTATGATAAACAAGTAAGTTTAAAATGTTTTTAAATTTGAGGTAAAAATCCATACTTCCTTTAAACAGTACTCAATTCAGAAAAGATTAAAAGCACTCCATAATTTTGTATAACCTATTGGATCATTCCATTGTCAAACATACACTCTCTTTAACTGAAAAATAATCATCCTAAATTTCCCATCCTGCTACTCATTTCTTTTATGCCCAACGTCTCACATGAGATGGTTGTACTCTGTCTCTAATTACTCTGATCTTGCTTATTCTCGTTTTCAATTAAAACCACTTTATCCAGGTTTCACCTTTACCAATGCATAGAAACTGTTTTATCTTATCAATGCCATTATGAATGTTATTACATCTAGTGGGTAATTATTCTTCTTTTTTTTTGTGGGGGGAGGGCGGGCATCTTAATAGTATCAGATCTTCTCCTTGATGTAATTTCTTTACCTCCTCACACTGCACTTTCTTGGAAGAGCAATCCTTGACTTTCTTGAAAGAGCAATCCTTGACAGCTCCTAGACAGTATATCCAGTCCATCAGGAAATTGCCTTCAACTTATACTCCAAATCCAACCACTTCTCAGCACTTCAACTCTTCTTCTACTACCACACAATCAGCTCTCAAATGGATTTAGCAACTCTCTGTTTCTATTACTGGATTTGAAAATCTACCTTTTAGCACAGAGTCAGAATGACCTTTTACAATGTGAAACAGATTATGTCACTTCTATGCTCAAAACTTTAGTTGCTTCCAGTTTCATGAAGAGTGAAAGTCAGCGTTTTCAAGGTGGACTTTTGTGTGCTCAGCCTTACATGCGCTGTTCACTGCATTATGTTTCTTCTGTTACTACTCTCTCGTCATTCACTTTTGTTCAGGAAACATTTACTCTTTACTGTACTTCAAACACTTAAGTCAGGCTCCTATCCTTGGGCCTTAGCTTTGGCTTTTCTCTCTGCCTGGAATGTTTTTCCCCCAGATATCTACTTAACTAACTCCCTCATCTGTTTGAAATGGGTTTATCACCTTTGTTATAAGGTTTATGCTGATGTGTTTTGCACTGTTGAGGGCCCTCTCCACCTACACTCCAAATCCCTCTTATTCTCCTCCTTTCTTTTTCACGGTATTTTCACTTGTCATCTTCTAACATTCTATATCATTTCTATATACTTTATTTATATATAACAATTATAAGCTATGTTTGCTACTTCTACAACAGTTTAAGCTCTCTATAGTTCAGAAAGCTTTTTGTTCCCCAATTTATATTATATGCCCAGAACACAGTAGGCTTACTATAGAGAAAATGTTTAGTAAATATTTGTTACATGAGTGTAGAAACTTATGTAACCACTCATTCTCCATGAAAAGTCTCTGCTTCCCTCAAATGATGTCCTAATTTTTTTTTTAACAGAGGAGACGGTAGCATACCTATCTTTATGATTTTCTTCCTAAATGCCTTTCCTCCCTCACCCAGCTGAATTGTAAAAGTACTCCAGAGCTCTACTCTGATCCACACTGACCTCCTTGTTCTCAGTTTGTAAAGCCAGCATGAACCAATGGAAAAAGCTCAGGAATGAACATCAGACTTACTATGCTTTGGGTCATGTCAGTGCATAGCCGTGTAATCCTGGGCTGTTCTCTGAACATCTGAGCCTCAATTTCCCCATTTTAAATAATACAGTGAATACTCTGATCTGTAAGATTTCTTTTAATTCTAATTTTTTATGACTTTAAGCATAATTTAAACACAATGTTTACAGTATATATTTGTCTAATAAGAAGGCATTCTAAACTGGTTATTTTACCATCAAATCTAATAATGTTTTTAAACACATATGATAAGCTAAATGTTCCTTTATGCAGTTATCTCCTCAACTATACTGTAAACACATTACTTGAGGTATTGATTATTGTCCTTTTTGTTTTCGTACTACCAAGATCAGTACCAATAACATAATAACAACAAGAAGTCTAATACTTGTAAGAGCCACTTACCCTCCTAATCATTTCACACTTAATTCTTATAGCTAGCCTAGGAATTCAGATACTATTTTTATCCCCATTATACCATTTTACAAAGGAAAAGCCTGTGGCACACACAGATTAAGTATAATTCATAGGCATTTAAGTATGTGGTAGATTTGAACCCAGGCATTCAGGTTCTAGAGTCTATGTAATTAACCACCACAACCTACTGCTCCTAATTTATTACTCAATATATTTTAGTTATTTAAGCAAGCAGAAGGCAGAGAACAGAACCAATGAATCATTAGGTGCTTTTCTGACTATAACATTTTTGAATACGACTAGATAATTATGTAGTTTCCAGAAGCAGATTTAATCCCCTATGTACATGAGTCATTGTCTTTGCTATAAACTGCTTAGGCTGGGTATTGGCTATGTCAGCATTGCTGTAATTATCAAATTCAAAATACACATTTGGGGGCAGAAGACATGATGCTTTCCACCATTTTCCATTGGTAAAGTACAAGATAGCACATTTTTTTCCATAACTAGATCAGGGAAAATGAATTTGGATGCAAAAGTACATCCAATCTTAGCAATTAACAAGGAAGGCTTCCCAAAGACAGTTCCATTTCCACATTAGTGCATGAAAGCCAAAGATAGACCCAGCTGCTCTTCCCAGCTCTGTGCTGTGTTTGTAACTGCTCAGGAGCAGTGAAAACATGTTGGAGTAACACATTAAAAAAATCCCTAAAAGGAACTATCCTTTTTTGGATTTGCAAACAAAACAGACTGCCAAATACATGTTAAATAAAAATTATGTTTTATGTGTACATGATTTTTTTTTTAGTTTTGTTTTTACCCTTTAGAAAAAGCTTTCCATAAAATTATTGGCAAAGAAACAAAACAATTATGTTTACACAGGTGAAAGTGAAGAATGGAAACACTAAACTTAAGGCCATTAAATTAGACTTTTGCCTGAATTGCCCAAACAAGATGTGAATATTTGCATTGTCATCTTTAAGTTATTTCTAGGGATTAGCTGAAAAAAATTATAGTTTATATTTAGTTATATTTGGCTATTTGTTTTATTCAATAGTTTGCATGCTAGATATATGTGACTTTACTATCATTTTGTCGGCCTATTTCTCACTTTTTTCACAGCCTAACATTACAAAAGAGTAATTATACTCATGTTTATCATTCCCGTTACACCAGTTCCCTCTTAGCGTTGGGTTTACTTAACATTTTCCCTGGCTTTGGAACATTTGCCACTTCATTGTTTTTCACTAGCCTAGGGTACTAGAAAGTATAGGAGTTTAAAAATAAAGCCAAATTCATTTCAAGTACCAACTCGGCCTCTGTAAAACTTGGATACTCTCACATATCCATGGCTATCATCACAGATAAAACTATGAGAATTTGTGTGACCTTTTAAGCTTTGGCCTTCTCTTTACAAAAGGTTGATCATATGCATTTCACAATGTGTTGGGACAATTTTGTGAATTAAAATACATCAAGCACCTCTTAGTTGCCACAGACTGCCCCTTAGCCGATGTTAGTTCTGAGCTTTCTGTTTCTTGGTTTTCATTAAAAACATCCCTTGGCTGATATTCTATTTCTTTATAGTCCTTTGGGTTTCTTTTGGGGTTTTGTCTGATCCTTCCATCTCCCCTCAATAGTCATTCCAAGTAGTTCCAGTTTATTTTCTTTATTATACAGTGTGATTACTTACCTACTCTGTTGTCGTCTTGTTCTGTTTTTTGTACTTTCACCATTTTGAGCAGATTTCTCATAAGGAGTGGGGAGGAAGGGGTTGAACAAGGAGTAGACAATAAATCAACATTCATAATTCATACGTATATAACAATATTTTTCAGTTTTCAAAGAGCATTAGCCTAGGTTTTCTCTATCTAGTGAAATTAGTATCTTTCCTGTCTAAGCCTTCCATAAAATTAGTAAGCAGTAGATGTTGGAAAATAATTCTTAGACTACTTACAATTCTGCCTTGCACTTAGTCAAGATCTAAGTTGTGAATTTCCTATTATGTAGTTGCCTGCTTAGGTTTATTACTTTTTTTTCTATTATCTTCTTTGTACTTCTGAACTATACTCTACTCTACATTTTTTCTTTTAACAAAATTACAATACTGTTCTTAAGACGTGCTCCTGTTCCTTTCAGTACTCTTTGAGTTCTTCTTATCTGATTGCCCATTCTCTGTCTTTTTGCTGGCTTTTCCTCCTCTTACCAAATTTTGAAAGATGAAGCTCCTGGAGGCTTGGCTTGGAATTCTTTCCTCTTCTCTGTTTATCTGTTCTTACTTAGTAAATAATCTATGGCTTCCAATACCAATGCCATCCTCATGCTGATAACATAAGCCTTGACTCTTCTCTGAGCTCCAGACTCACATCCCTAACTGACAACTTGCCTTGTCCTCCTAAATAGGTAGCAGACATCTAAAACGTGACACGTCCACAACAGGACTGGATTCTCTCCAAACTCTTTGCATTCTTTTCCATATCAGCTAAAGGGACTGTTACCTATAAATAAAGTGAGGAACCTACAATTCAGTCTTGATTCCTACCTTTCTTTCACACTCTGCATAGACCTATTGCCAAGTTGTGATAGTTATATCTTTTAACTATTTCTCACATCCTCCAACTTCTCTTCATATACATGGCTATCATCATAGATAAAACTACGATTACTTACTCCTGGATTATGCAATGCTTTCCACCTTATCTCATTTTCCCTGTTCTCACCTCCCACTCCATAATCTGTATAACCTTCTGTTCTATCTATGTATCTATCTATCCATCCATCCATGTACCTATCCACTATCCACACAGTAGATAGAGATCTATCTACCTATCTATCCATCCATCTATCTATCCACTATCCACATAGTAGATAGAGCTATCTTTTAAAAATCATATCATTCAATTCCCTTAAAAGAAATCCTCCAGTGGGCTTGCATTCTAATTTCTTACCATAGTTTATTATACCTTCCATAATCTGGCCTCTACCTACCTCTCCAAACTAATTTCTTTCTTTTTGCCCTTTTTTGTATTCATTGAATAGTGATATGTTTATGAGAGGTGAAGCCAGCTGGACTTCCTGGGTCGAGTGGGGACTTGGGGAACTTTTCTGTCTAGCTAGAAGATTGTAAATGCACCAGTCAGCATTCTGTGTCTAGCTAGAGGATTGTAAACACACCAATCAGCGCTCTGTAAAAACACACCAATCAGCACTCTGTGTCTAGCTAAAGGATTGTAAATGCATCAATCAGAACTCTGTAAAAATGCACCAATCAGCACTCTGTGTCTAGCTAAAGGCTTGTAAATGCACCAATCAGCACTCCATAAAATGGGCCAATCAGCACTCTATAAAATGGACCAATCAGCTCTCTGTAAAATGGACTAATCAGCAGGATGTGTGCGGGGTCAAATAACGGAATAAGAGCTAGCCACCCCAGCCAGCAGCCACCCCAGCCAGCAGCGGCAACTTGCTCGTCCCCTTCCATGCTGTGGAAGATGTGTTCTTTCGCTCTTCACAATAAATCTTGCTGCTGCTCACTCTTTGTGTCTGTGCTACCTTTATGAGCTGTAACACCCACCACAAGGGTCTGCGGCTTCATTCCTGAAGTCAGTGAGACCATGAACCCACCTGGAGGAACAAACAACTCTGGATGCACCAGCTTTAAGAGCTGTAACACTCACTGCAAAGGTTTGCGGCTTCACTCCCGAAGTCAGTGAGACCATGAACCCTCCAGGAGGAATAAACAACTCCAGATGTGCCACCTTTAACAGCTGTAACACTCACTGTGAAGGTCTGTGGCTTCACTCCTGAAGTCAGTGAGACCACGAACCCACAGGAAGGAAGAAACTTCGGACACATCTGAACATCAGAAGGAACAAACTCTGGACACGCCATCTTTAAGAACTGTAACAATCACTGTGAGGGTCCGCAGCTTCATTCTCGAAGTCAGCGAGACCAAAAACCCACTGGAAGGAACCAATTCTGGACACATTTACAAGTCATAGGACTTCTGTATTTTAGGTTTTTCCTATCCAAGCGTGACTTTTTCTTATCTTTTCTGTCTGAGTCTAAATTGAATACCCACCACTTTTTTTTTTTTTTTTTTTGAGACGGAGTCTCGCTCTGTCGCCCAGGCTGGAGTGCAGTGGCGGGATCTCGGCTCACTGCAAGCTCCGCCTCCCGGGTTCACGCCATTCTCCTGCCTCAGCCTCCCAAGTAGCTGGGACTACAGGCGCCCGCCACTACGCCCGGCTATTTTTTTGTATTTTTAGTAGAGACGGGGTTTCACCGTTTTAGCCGGGATGGTCTCGATCTCCTGACCTCATGATCCGCCCGCCTCGGCCTCCCAAAGTGCTGGGATTACAGGCGTGAGCCACCGCGCCCGGCCCCCACCACTTTTTACCATATAATGTTGCATGATTTCTTTATAGCTTTTTTCTAATCTATAATGTTTTATGTATTTATCTATACAGTGAGGGCACTCTGTTTATACCCTCAGTGCTTAATATATTATGTACCCAAAATGAAAGACTCTGTGGGGTGTGTGTGTGTTTGCAATATTCACGTATGAATAAAATCACAGAGATGAGATGATAGTCATGGAGGACTGTTACTTTTTTTCTCTCATTATATAATTTTTTCATCTCATTTATTACTCTCACAGGATACTGGGTACTTTTTTTTGTAGCGATCAAAGAGCAAGTTAGTAAAGGTAGAGGAAGAAAGATTGTTCTCCTCTGTTCGGCTACTATAGAAAGGCAGTAGCATGTCAGGTGTTATCAGTAGCAAAACAAGAGGCCCACTTGGGAGCTGGTAATAGAAAGGAGGAACACATGATGAGGAGGAGGAACTTCTAAGCTGACTACTGAAAGAAGATGCAAAATCATCCTGACCACAGTCCACGCAGAGGATGCTGAGCCGTGGAAGGACAAAGGTGTTCAGTGCTCACTCTCCTTGCTCTATCATGCCTTCAGCTCTCTCCCACTTAGAGCTCTAAGGGACACACTTTGTTTTTGTTTTTTTTGCTGAAAAGGAATCATTTATTGAATTAAATAATAGAGGTTTTTTGTGTAAGTAGTTGATGTACATTTGATTTTAAAAAGAAACTGTTTGCATTAGGTCACCACAAAGCAGATTTATATACTGATATGGTTTGGTTGTATCTCCACCCAAATCTCATCTTGAATTGTAATCCCTATAATTCCCAAGTGTCTAGGGAGAGACCTGGTGGGAGGTTATTGGATCATGGGGCAGTTTCCCTCATGCTGTTCTGGTGATAGTGAGTGAATTCTCATGAGATATGATGGTTTTATAAGGGGGTCTTTCCCCTTCGCTACTCACTCTCTTTCTTCTGCTGCCATGTGAAAAGTTCCAAGTTTGCTTCCCCTTCGCTTCTGCCATGATTGTAAGTTTCCCGAGGCCTCCCCAGTCATGTAGAACTGTGAGTCAATTAAACCTCTTTTCTTTATGAATTACCCAGTCTCTGATATTTCTTCACAGCAGTGTGAAAATGGACTAATACACATACAATCATCAATTGTGGGAAAACAAGAAATTAAGCTTCTATGTGATCCCAGCAGAAGTACTCTTTCCTTGATCATAAGAAAATTTATTTTTTAGAAAGTAAAGCTAATAAGTTGACAGAATTGCAAAACACTAAAGCACTTTAAGCAAAAACTCTTTATTTTTAAGAAAAAGGTACGATTTCTCATCTTCTATTCTTGGCATACATTTTAATTGTTTCCGATGAAAGCCAAACCTCCTGAACCCACTTCAGTGTTATTCAAAATTTAAACTTCTTCTATATTTAGATAAAAAATCTGTTCACAAATGAGCTGTGCAACTGGATCACTTTTTCTTTTTTACTTCAAACTTTCCTTGCCTAAATTAAACAGTAGAACAGCAACATTTCCTCTATAATCTTCAAGTATGATACTAGCCATACATTTATAATCTGTTTTGCATCCAAGCCAGAACAAGGAGTTACTCGTTTATAACACCCAGAAGAGCTATCTGAATGTCTGTTTTCACAAGAGCTTCCTCCATTGGTGGCATTTTATAGTTGTAGGGACTGTCCAGGTCATAGCCTGTGGTCCCCACGGACCCCTGGGTCAGGACCATGGCCTCCTCCCAGAGCTAAGCAAAGTGGAGCTGTTTGTCACTCTGCTCCACAGGCTAGGTGGCTTGCTGGGGCAAATGATGGGTGCCTCTTCAGAGCAGGGCATGGCAGACTGAGAAGGTGAGCAGAGGAGAGAGACGGAAGAACAAGAAAGTGCAGAATGAGCCCCTAGAACACACTTTGCAGGCTAACACAGGCTAGTTAAGGCTCCTTTCCCCGCTCAATTTTTTTCTCATGCTGTAATATAATTAAATTTTCATAACACCTGAACCTAATATTGGCAATCTGTTATGTTGACCAGTGCGATAATTATCTGCTGCCTCATGTCAAGCTCACACAAAGTTGCATAATTTATGTTTGCATCTACTAATGATAAAAATGGTAGGAACAAGTCATAGTGATGCAGTGTACTAGAGAGTCAAATATTTAGAAAAATAGAGCTTGACATCTGTAGAAAACAAATAACAAAATATGCCTTAGAATAGTACATAAAGTGTGTACCGGGAGAACTCTCTTATCTTATACTTTATTCTGACCATACCCAAGAGGAATTGACAACGTCTCTTCATTGCTTTGAAATACAAAATTTCCACAAAGAAAGCAAAAGTGAAATCAAAGAAAGGAGTCTGGAATTTTTCTAAATATGTATGTTGGGAAAGGAAAACAGGAAACCATAACAACATAGAGCAAAATGATAAAACAGGAGAAAAGCTCTAAACAAACCTAAAAGGGACTACAGGAATCAGCTTGTCTAAACGTGTTAACTTGTTATTCAGTATGGGAGAAAATGGAAGTCCGTGGAGTGGGGTGGGTGGGAGGTCTAGGCTTCTCCCTCTGGGGCACTCAACTTCCAGAGTGCAACAGAGGAGCTCCTTCAGGTCAGGGTGGTCAACCTGCATGCTATTGACATTTGGTGACAAATAAACCTTTGTTTGGTGGGAGGTGCAGGTGGGTAGGTATTGTCCTGTGCTTTGCAGGATATTCAGTAGGATTTTTGGCCTCTATTCATTGTGTGCCAGTAGCATCCTACCCCCCACTCTCCAGCTGTGACAACCAACAATGTCTCCAGGTATTGCCAAATATCCCCTGGGGGTCAAAATCACTCCTAGCTGAGAACCACCGATTTTGAGGATTCTTCACTGAATATTTCTTCTCCTTACTTGCCTGCATTATTTGTCATGGTTTTATTAAGAGAACAAAAGGAAATTAGAAATGGTAGGAATTGCTGTATTTTGTTGCTTAACAGTTAATATGCAAATGTTTGAGAAGAGGAATGAAAGAAATCAAACACTTAATACAAGTTTTAGATGAGCTATAATTCTGACTTGTCTAATGTCATATCATCTTACTGATTTAATCTTTTCTATTCTAAATCATTCAAACGTGGCAAATGGAGACATTATAGCACTCAATTAGAATTATTGAATTTTAACGTTTTTTACTTCATCAAAGATTAGAGGATTTTTTAAAAAGCATGCATGTACTCCTGCACACACCCACGCACTCACACAATACCGATCAGCCACACAACATTGCTGAGAATGCACGCATGTACAGGAATACAGCTCACATTCTCTATTTTTCAATATTGATGCCTATTGGCTATTCTATGTAATAAACTTATTGTGTATTACAAAACTGCTATGGGCAGTAAAACAATACATATAGAACACCCTCTTTTTCTTTCAGTTTCCTAATGGAAATAATTCCTATAGAGACTATCAAGGGTTTATTTCCCTCATCAAGCTTTTTTATGAACAAACCATTTGCTATGTATGCCGATGACACTGATTATCCTGCATGAAATAGGATACAGTAGATTTTGGAGAGAAAAAGATTAGAAACGTACCTGCCAATAGATCTACATGTGATCCAGATTTCACATTTCCCTATAGAATATTGCATTATAAAGAATACGTGGTAAAAGTGGAGAATGTGTTAGCTCTATTCTGTCAACCATAGCTGAACAAAGTGTGCTGGAAGTGTAGTATGTGTATGCTGTATGGTCTTACGTGAACCCAAGATAAAGGTGCTGGGGTCAGGATGGAAGTATGGTGGGGGTGAAATTTACTTCTCCGTGTCCACACGTAATGTCTCGTATAAAGTTACTCTAAAGTTTATGTTTTTCTGTTTGGTTTTCTAAACAGTAATCTTATTGCTTGGAGTTTTCAAATAAAATACTTCAGAGACAACATGATTTGATCATCAATAGATGCCATTTCACTTAACAAAGCAAGTCAGACTAGACTCCCACAATAAAGGGACAGTCTCTGTTTTAATCGTGTAGAACTGACTAGAGATCTGAGATCTCAAGTAGAAGGTACAAAAAAAATTTATTCTCTTGTTTTTCCCTGGAGTTAATCGTGTCAAATGCATTCCCAAGCCTGAAGAAAAGAATAAAACTAAATTAGTTTTAATCATGCACATTTATATTTTGTATTCTGTGTGAAAAAAATAAATACAAAGGGAATATGACTAATTTCAAGGCTTTACTTCACGTCATGCTCCTGAGAATACATTTTCTGGCAAATGTATACACGCTTTCATTTTACTCCTGAAATAGTTTACCCAGTACATCTCTAGGCTTTAATATCTTTAAAAAAAATCTCTTATTATAAAAGTATCAAATTAAAATTTAATTCCTGATCAATTTCACACACATTAGCCTCCCACAGTGAAGCAATTATTTCCTTTGAGATATTTGCTACTCTTCTTTTATAATGAATTTGGTTTATATAAACTGATGAAGATAACAGAATTGTAAAGTTATAGTTTATAACATCTTGGTATCAGTACATTAAAAAAATCAATCAACTGGATATCTAGAAACATGCCATAAGTAAGACATTGTGCTAAACTCAGAGGTGGACAGACAAAGGAAAAGTGGGATTGTTGTTCTTAAAAAAATTTAGAAGATGAAGCATTTTTGAACAGAGTATCAAATATCTTAACAATATAATAAATCATGTCAAACAAATGTAAACAATAATTTAAAATTTGTAAAGGATTTGAGATCGCCATGGAATTAGTATTCAGGCTTTTTGTAGAGGACATGTGAGACCATCTTTAAAACTTGGGGGTTCATGAAAGATTGTTGAATGGGAACATGACTCAATGGAAGCAGTCATTTTGAAATTGTAATCAGGAGGAAATGTGTGGAATGGACTTGTTTAGAGAGGCAGGAGGCAGAGAGAAGAGCAAGGAAACTGCAACAGTCTAGGTGTGAATCAAACCAAAAAAGCAAAGATGAAAGTATTGATTACCTATTTCCTGACACATGAGTGGCGTTAGGAGTACAGATATGAGGGAGACATAATAGTAGAGGAGTATGTGATTTAATATGTAACAAAAAATAATTGTTATTCAAGATACAAGGCACTATACTAGAGGATGGTAGATTGTTTCCTGGGGTTTGGGGAAGGAAAGTATACTAAAATTGGGCAATAAATGATAAATGGCAGTTTGCTAGGATGGAATATAGAGAAGGAAATCCTTGTCAGGGAGTGGAAAGTAGTCAATATGACGCAAAGTAGGAGAAATGAGGCCAAATGCTCCAGTGGAGCATAGTTTGTGCATGTTCTTGTGTGGCATGCTAAGAAATCAGGACTTATTCTTTTTTTGTTTAATTATACTTTAAGTTTTAGGGTACATGTGCACAACATGCAGGTTAGTTACATATGTATACATGTGCCATGTTGGTGTGCTGCACCCATTAGGAGGAGCTGGTGCCATTCCTTCTGAAACTATTCGAATCAATAGAAAAAGAGGGAATCCTCCCTAACTCATTTTATGAGGCCAGCATCATCCTGATACCAAAGCCTGGCAGAGACACAACAAAAAAAGAGAATTTTAGACCAATATCCCTGATGAACTTTGATGCAAAAATCCTCAATAAAATACTGGCAAACTGAATCCAGCAGCACATCAAGAAGCTTATCCACCATGATCAAGTGGGCTTCATCCCTGGGATGCAAGGCTGGTTCAATATAAGAAAATCAATAAACATAATCCAGCATATAAACAGAACCAATGACAAAAACCACATGATTATCTCAATAGATGCAGAAAAGGCCTTTGACAAAATTCAACAACACTTCATGCTAAAAACTCTCAATAAATTAGGTATTGATGGGACATATCTCAAAATAATAAGAGCTGTCTATGACAAACCCACAGCCAATAACATACTGAATGGGCAAAAACTGGAAGCGTTCCCTTTGAAAACTGGCACAAGACAGGGATACCCTCTCTCACCACTCCTATTCAACACAGTGTTGGAAGTTCTGGCCAGGGCAATCAGGCAGGAGAAGGAAATAAAGGGTATTCAATTAGGAAAAGAGGAAGTCAAATTGTCACTGTTCGCAGATGACATGATTGTGTATCTAGAAAACCCCATCATCTCAGCCCAAAATCTCCTTAAGCTGATAGGCAACTTCAGCAAAGTCTCAGGACTTATTCTTTAGTAATGGGAAACTATTGAATTATCTTCCTTGTATTGTAGAAATAGAAACTTGGATAATATGGGAGACAGAATTAGAAACATAAGGGAGATTACTTAAAATGCTCCTGTGAGAACCCCAATGGACATGATAAGGACATCATTGATGTCAGGTTCTGCCTTCAACAAATATTTCAGATGTGTCATATTCCACAGTACCTGATCCTGTGTGATCATGTAACACCAAAGTGTTTCATGAATATGAGAGGTAGTGGCCAAGGTTAGTGACTTTAGACTCAAATGCTCTGGGCAATTTTTAAAGCTCTTCTATTCACTAGCTGAAAGGGGCCCTGGTGAGTTACTCATGTCTATTCCTGTGTTTTTTTTTAATCTATGAAATGCAGATGATAATGTCCTTCATCTTGTGGAGTTGTTCCAAGCATTAAATGGCTTAAAACCGTTGTGTACATTATGTTTGTTTCAACAGTGACTGAAACAGAGAAAGAACTCAATCCATGATAGCCAGTAGGCAATCTGGCTCCAGAGTCCATGCTCATAACGCCTATACCCTAACAAATAGGTCAGCAATTGAAGATAAACATTCTTTTAGGCAATAAGATGCCCTTGATTAGTTTTTCAAGGTATGAATTTTTGAATTAGGGTAAAGAGATAATGGATGAATGAGGCACTTTAAAAGAAGGGTGGTGATTGTTAAATCTTCGCATGTGTCAGGAAAAGATAAAAGGCAAAATTTGATTTTTCTCAAAGTTTTGAACTCGTGTCACCAGAAGAATGACTTTACCATTTGTATAAATGAGATAGAAAGGTTTCTCAATAATGCAGGACCTAACTTACGAGGTTATTGGAGCCATAGCAAGATAATTAATGCAAAGGCTTTAGCACAGTGACAGGTATAGTGTAAGCATTCAATAGTTATTATCTATTATCACAGTTGTCATCATAATCTTAGCAGTAGATAAGAGGCATATCTGGATGGCCCCGGAGTCTCATTCTCGCCAGCCTTTATAGCAGTACAGCAAGGAGCTAGCTCAGCAGATCTGAGGGAGCACAAAAGAGAAGTTGCCTGATAACTACCAATGAGCTCCAGAGGCTCTCCTTTCCTAACAGGACAACTTTTCTGGCCCCTGCCCATAAAATTATGTACAGCATTACAGATGCAGGTCTCTCGATCCTAGGATCTTGGCCATGGGGTTAGCTGACAAGCTGTGCTCAACCAAAGCTAAGATCTTAGGGGACTATGTGAACTTTACTAGTTTTCTGCTTGTAGTTTTCCCCAATCCACTATATGTTAGATTTGCATTCCAAGAAGCAATAGGAATTTGATG
The DNA here is from genome assembly GCF_000001405.40 of Homo sapiens. Lineage (NCBI taxonomy): Eukaryota > Metazoa > Chordata > Mammalia > Primates > Hominidae > Homo > Homo sapiens. Next base: position 147,140,593 of record NC_000007.14, on the reverse strand, counting down.
ACAAAGAATACAGGGGTGGCTGAGATTTGGCACAGGTGTGCACAAGGATTGATAGCAGCAGTTGAGATTGGGAGGTAGTTAAAATTCATGCCCAAAAGGGTAAGCAATATTCATAGGCAAGAGGAAGTTATGACCTAAAATAATCAAGTCAACCATGTCAGGGTTAAAAATAAAATAGCAGAGGATTGGAATGAGGGAAGGAGAGAATCCTGGGAAATTGGAGGTGAGCAGTACTCCAATATCCAGGCAGGGAACAGGCAGCAGGTTGTACGTCTAGGGGTAGCAAGATCTCGGCCTCTGGACAGAGGTTCAGCAATAGAGATTCAATCTCGGAAAGACACTCAGAAAGCCTGGAAGTGCTAGAAGAAAGACTAGAAGTGATTGTAGAGAGAACAGACATCTAGGCAGGTCATCAGTATCTTTCAGAAAACATCAGAGTCTACCAAGCGCTACAGTAAGAATCTAGGCACAACTGTAATTATAAAATTGAATCGTAGAGAATGAATGAAAGGAAAAAAGCACTGACTGGAGAGAAGAAAGAGGACTCAGAAATAGCACAGAATTTCAGTTCCCAGAAGTAGGGTCTGAGCTCAGGTTAGAAAAGCCTCAAGGGAAATATATCAGAATAAAATAAGTCAGAAAATGTAGTCATGATTGCAGATGGGGCCATATCCATAATTATTTCCTGATACCATGTTTACCAAAGGTAATTACTTTCTATGCATGTTGAATGACTCTCCCAAAATTTTCTTGTGAAAAACCTTGATGAAGAAAGGAAAGAGACTAAGAAATATATGTGGCTAAACATGATACTGAGTTTCCAAAGGAGTCATTCTTTCAGCTGATCCCAAGTCACTTTCAGAGGCTCACAGAATCTGCAGAATCCCTCCCCCAAGAAGGCTGATTTCCACATCTAGTTACAACCAAGCAACAGATAACCTAATGAGCCTACATTCTTCCCAAATTACTTAAAAATTAAAAGGTGAGGGAGGTAGATGCTGGGCAATGATACTATCTCACAGTCTGAATTTCCTGGTCAAGTTAATTATCCCTGGTAATTCTCAACATGAGGTTAATGGGGGGAGTGGGAAGTGGTGTGGGGAAGGTTCCAAACCAATGACTGCTTTGTGTTTTTTCTGATTATGAAGGTACATCATCCCTGATTGTTTCATGCCAACACTATTTATTTTGTTAACTATTTGAAACAAAATTAGACACGCAATTGCAAAAACATCTAAAGTTGACTTAGATATATCTCTACTATGTAAATCCATATTGCTTAAATTTACCAATTACTCATTTATCCACTACAAAAGTTTCAACCTTACATGAAGTGTCAGCCCTTACACTTAAATGAAAGGTAAAGGACCACATTGTATATGTACTTCAGGACATCATTCTGTACATGTTAAGTAGATACAATATTATCTGTTAACTGAGAAATATACTGGCTTTTCAGCAAAGTTAATTTGCTTCTATGTCCTCCCTGTTCTTGTCTTAGAAACATCTTCAACTACATGCATATATTATTTTTGGAGTTCCTGGGCTATGTTCTTTGCTATTCTTTCATAATTCATTTTTATTCTCTTAGTATCAACTAGTGATATCTGATTTTTTTTTCTCTTCGATTTATTTGTACAGTAAACTGAAGCTTTTGAAACACAGTCTGGTTCTCATTGGCACCTTTTGCCTCCATTTTATCCAACAAAGTTACTAAAACTTTATTGCCTTTTTGGAATTTTAAAAAATTATTATACACACATACACACAACATGTTTTATTCATCTTCCCTGAAAAAGGCATAGAACATTTTAAAAGGCTCAAAAATATTGTAGAAACTAGAATGGAAATGGTGTCCTGGAGTGTGATTATAAATTAAAATGTCCCTTTTGCTTTCTAAAGAATAAGTCAATATCTAACATCATAAAACTCTCCCCCGGTCCTTTTTTTCCTTTCATTCTGCACTATAATGCTTCTATTGATGAAAAATGTGCACCAGCATTCACTGCAGTATAATTAAAGGTAGATTTCCACTCAGTTCGCATGATAGTGGTACAGCCACACTAGGAATTGATATATAATAAAAAGTCAGTTGGGTGAAGCTACCCAGGAGCAACATACCATTGACTCAAATGCCTTTTACTTGGTACCATGTGGCTCTCACAGCAAGTCTATTTGTGAATTTCAGGGAATAAAATCAGCAAAATATGTTTTAGATATGTCCAAGGGTATCTTATTTCTATGTGTCTATTTAGATCTAGTACTCAGATCTTTATCTATCTCACTTTTGGGATCCACCAAACAATAGAATCTATTCCTTTCCAGCTCAGTTCTAGGCTCCTAATTAAAGTGAGTACAGTGCTCTATGAATCAGAATTTCTTAGGCTCCATTTTCGCCCTAAGAATACAGAGCCATGTTTTATCTTTTGTATCTTAAGATGATGGATTTGCCTTTACCGGAAATTTTTAGATATCTACAAGCCCATCAAAAGGTACAAAAATCTAAAAATTACTTTTTAGCCACTTATTTTGTAAAAGTATGGTGTATGTAGATTATTTGGGAATAAAGTGATGATTTATTTATTTATTCAATCTATTCCTTTATTGAGAAAAAGGAATATGTTGTTACCTGATAGCTAGCAATAGTTTTAAGGGACAATACTTTTTATCTATCTACCTATCTATCTATCTATCTATCTATCTATCTATCTATCTATCTACGTATCTATCTATTTTCCAATCATTTATCTACTTATCTATCCAATTATTTACCCAGGTTGAAAAATAGTTTTAAAATTACATAGATGGTGCGGAATTTGTTCAAAATGAGTTATGAATATTTTCAAATAATTAAACATTATAGACACAACCTCCAAATTTCTGCACCTGATTATAAAATGCTCCATTTGTATGTAAATGCAATTGAAATTCTGTTGAAGCTTATTATTTAAGGTGAAACTTTTAAGAAATTGGCTGTACATGTTTCTAAGTAAGGAAATTAGAATTTTTAAATTGATATGCTATTTAATTTCCATTTGTAACATTGTTAAGCATCATACTTTTCAGAAATATCATTTTATCCTCAATTGTTTTGTAGCATATTGTTTTTGACTTCTGAGAACAATTGATGTTTATTGGAGAAAATATAGATATTAGAGAAAATATATTAAAAAGTTAATATAATGGACTGATAACCCACCAATTAGAGATGATCAACATTAGTATTATATTATTTCATTCTGATTTGGAATGAAATAAAATTCCTATATTTATAATAATGACATTAGATTCATAGTCTACTTAAGTTTTTATTAAAAATTTTATTCTTAGCATTTTTTACCATGTTATTAAATTTTATATAAGAAATGTGATTTATAATGACATAATAGTATTCCACATAAAAATACACTCTTTAAAATCACATGTCCATTTTCAGTAGTTTGTTTTCAATTACTTTGGTTATTGTATATATGTTGTGATAAATAACTCTGGGTGCTTCTTTATTTTCTTAGAATCAGAAAAACTTAAATTTAATGGATCAAAGGGAAGTAACATCTTTTAAGGCTTCTAATAAATATGGTTTAAACTTGAATTAGAGAACATATCTTGTTAAATAAGTCTCCAATTATTTTGCTGTAAAACATAATAAAACAAATCTCTTAAAGTATTTGTAGTAATGCTGAAACATTTAGTTTTTGAGTTACAAGAATTTAAGACATTTTGAAATAATATCAGTATAGAACTGAAAAAAAATTTTCAGTAAACAACTAAAACATCAAAAATTGTATTTCAAATGAGACCTTTTTTCTCATATGATGAAAAGGATGTCTCATGGGGCAAGTTATCACTGAACTTTGGAAAACGGTATAAATTAATTTTTTAAAGAAATATTAATATGCTGGCTACATTTCCAAGTGTTCATAAAATCAAGAACAGAGATATTTTAATTGCTTAGAATAGACACTGCCTGGAGTGTTCCCAAACACATTTGCCCAGATTGAACTGAGAACTATTTCCCAGCATGCTCCCAGCCACACACTGAACCAAGAAAACTCCCACTCCTCCCTTGAGACACCCAATGGAACACAATGATTTACAAAGGAAATTTTACTAAGAAGCAAAGTAAATAAAACAAGTCCACAGAAGATTTCCTTTGGAGATGAAAATACAAATGAGAAAATCTTTTCTGATTACATATTTCTGAGACAGTGTGGACACTGAACAGCCATTCGAAAATTGAAGCAATACCTACATTAACAAAACAAGGATGTTCCAATACTTGAGTATAAGAAAACAGCTGATTTAGGACAGGACATATTCTGAATGACTTTTTGGAAAGGCTTTGTTTATACATGGAGAGAAGTTAATTTTTTTCCAATAACTGAGAGAGAATATTAAGATAAATCACTTTCTCCCCACTATAATAAATGCTGAATCACATTGTATTACCTTGTTAATATTGGCAGACGACAACTGAGTATTGTTCTAAATATGTTTGTATTTAGTGGCATAAAATTGAGGCATTTTGAAATAAAAACTTACTTCAAAAGGTAGGTTTTTTTTTTTGCTATAATTCAAATAGTAATGTACATTAATGCTTTTTTACTACCATTATAATATTATAATACTGTTCCCATAAGACAAATTTAGTTTTCCAATATAGAGTGATGGAGTTAATACTTCCAGGCAACTAAAACTTTTAAAAATTCCAACACTTCAAATAAGAAAAAGAATGCAGGTCAGGTCGGTGTTTTCCAAACTGTATTTAGGACATGAAATTATTATAGTGGGTTATGGCTTTTTTTTTTTTTAAGAATAAAGCAAAAGAAAAGAAAATATCACACTTATCATAGTGCATCTAAAATAGCAAGGCAAGTTTTATTTCATCAAACTTTGTGTCAGTAGGTTTTGGGTATGACATAAAATATTTTCTTACTGTACTTTGATCAAAATTATTTGAAAAACATGGTTCTAGGTCCACCTTCCCCAGAGTTTTGAATTTTAAAGTTAAAATGAAAATTATGCCCAGAATGAACAGCTATTATTCATTAGACCCTTTTTGCACCTGTTTAATATTATCATTTATGCCTAGTTAAAAGTAATGCCTAAATATGTATTCATAAATCAGTAACTTCTGTCCTAAAAAATGATGTACTGGGATAAAATTGAGTCACTTTGAAATAAAAACTTATTTCAAAAAGTAAGTAGGGTTTTTTGTTGTTGTTGTTTGTTTGTTTGTTTTTGGCTATCCATCAGAAAACGTTGATGTTGCAACTTGTTCAATATTTTCATGGTAAGATAATCCACTCTGTAAATTCAAGGCTACTGAGTTTGACTGAATTTCATAAGTCAAGTCTACTGTTGATTACTAATGAGACTCTTGAAGACAGTAATCACAACTTGGAAAGAAAGATACAAAGATAGGGTGAACAATATATTAAACATTATTTTACTTGTAAGATGTATTTAATATTTTAAATTAATTCCCAAAGAACAGTGTTGACCAAGATGGAAAAAAAGGTTTTTGATCTAATTGGGTTACATTCATCCTGGACCATGGAATTTATTAAATAAAAACTAAGTTACCAGTATATATTAACAGTATCTGAGAGTCTCTATATTACCTTCTCAGTGCACTACTTTGTGTGTGTACACCAAAATTTTATCACTGGTTATTTTTCTTTTCTAGATTTTCTGCATTTTCTAAATTCTTTCAATCAAAATATTTGACAAAAGGAGAAGTGGACTGACATTCTTCAATGCTCATGCTGATAAGAGTAGAATAGCTGTGATACAGATATATTTCCCTTTGTTAAAGCAAACATTAGAATCCTGACTTAACTGTTTTCTCAGTGTTGCCACTTTACTAACTTATTTACACATTTAATTGAATTTGATAAAATACATTAAAAGACAGAGGAAATTATGTCCTATGGTTTCCATATGTACTTTTAGATTGAATGAATGAATATAAAATATAACTTTTTTAAATGGTTGAATTTTTTTTTCAACTAATGTTTCTCAAATATGAGCACTTAGTTTCCACTATGTATGTATGTGTGTATGTATGTCTGTATATATATATATTTATATAAAATGCTTGAAGCAGTAAGGTATTTTCACTGGATTATAGAAGGGTAATACTACGGAAATCTTTAGATTTTATATCTTTTCAATTAATTTGCACAGATTCTTGGCTAAATTGACAAAAACTCTTCAGTCCATTTTTATTAGGTTTAAGCAAATCTATTAAGGTGAATTAACTGTCATGTATTGGATTTCTTTGTTCATTCTATCTTTAATTTTCAAAATAAACACAGCTTAAATTAGGTGAGAGTATCTTGGAGTACTAAATTACACCAAATCAAATTAATACATGTTTATTGACCACTAGGGTTAATATCTTATCCTTTCAAATATATTGGCTCCTGTTACATGGAAACCCACCAGCAAATCGGATTTGCTCAGAGACTGCAAGGAGACAGGCCTTCATACTAATATTTTTATGTTTAGTCATTAGGCAATAATCATTAATCATAACAATATAATGTGGGAGTTTTTCAACTGTGGCAAACATTTGCTTTTGTTTTTGTTTTATCTGTTTTTCTGGTCTCTCCAGATATTTTCGATTTGCTGTAAACCTCCCTAGGTATACTTATAAACGAATGTAGTGATAAAATATGGTTGATTAATCATTTTGACTAGACATTCAAGGAAAAAGCAAAACTAATAAAGCAGAAATGGAGAAAGTGAATAACTAGGTATTTCCCAATACCTTTGATTTCAATAATTTAGGCACATCTCTGACATAACATTTCTTGTGGCTTCCTTGAATCCTTTTCAGTAATAGACCATACATTCAGGCCACACACAAACATAAAGCCTATTTTACAAGAAAATATATATGTTCTATAGCAGGGGATATTCTGTTAGTTGAAAGGGGTCAGAGTATTGAATTCAACAAATATTGGAGAGCACCTCTTACAGGTACTATTCTATATGCCAGAGACAGAAGAAAAAGGAGCATGGTCCCTGCTGTCAAGGAGCATGGAGCCTAGAGGGGAAAAGAGAGGGACAAAAATCATAGTGTGTTAGAAACCGTGTCAGGTATATGCATAGGGTGCCATGAGAGTATATGGCATATTCAGAAATCAGAGTCCATGGTCACCCAATTGAGCTCTCTGTCATGACTCCTTTCAGTATCTGCTACATCTGTACTAAGTGTTCAGTAAATGTTAGTTTTCTTTGTATCTCCCATTTCTAAGTAGTTCTTCACAATATATATGTATGACTATTGCAAAGACTATCTCAAGAAAAATAGATGAAAACAGTTACTATTTATCAGTCCAATATTGAGACTAATTTTTCTTTGCTTATAACATCACAATTTACAATGTCACCTTTCTTTGTACTGTATTTATCAAAGAACTTCCAAGGTTGCGAAGTCTATTCAAATAACAAGAATATTACCTAAGCCTCTATTTGTCATATCACTACAAAGCCAAATTTAAAATTATCCTATTTTTGCCTAAGCCAGTCTTCCGTCAGTTGATACACAAATCTTGTCATTCCACCTTTATATTCACTTTCGTTTTCTTTTCCAACCATTTGCATAATTTTAGCAAGATCATTTTGAAGTTCTGATTCCAGCAGTGGAATATTCCTTAAAGTTAAAATTAGTATAATCTTGTTACTAATAGTAAAAGGTACACGAATGTTGATAAAGAGAAAAGATACCAGATACAATTGTGTTTTTAAAATAAACATTCCTTGTTTTTAAACATAAATTATTCACTTAAAAGAAGAGCAATTTATCTATTAAAAATAAACTAGCATTGGTAAGGAATAGATTTTGCTTTTCCAATCTCAACCAATTTTCTCCTTCACCCATGCCTTGCTCTCTCAACAACTTTCCAAGTTTTCTTTATTCAATCAGCACACACTACAACCAAGTAAGCGTCTTGAAGATCTGAATTAAAACCTAATCCTGAGCGTGTAACACCAGCAAAACCAAACAAAGCACAACATTAACTCTGGAAATTGCAATAAGTTTCAGGAACAAATGTCAAATAGGTTTCACTGACCTGAGGAAATATCGATTTGGCTCATCTTGGTCTGTGTGATGTTGATGTGAACACCCACTTTGCTTTCAGTGAGGTCAATCTCCACATTGCCCAAATTATCCGCAAAGTGACTGAAGACCAGGAGACCATTGGGGTTCCATGTCCTAAACTGGAAACTGACTGAGAACAGGTCCTGGTTAAGCCGTCCGGGCACCTCCAGGTAACTTGTAGCGTTGAAAAAGACAGGCACCGTATAGGGTTCCACACAAGAAAAGCTCAAATTTCCCTGTAAAATAGAAAGACAGGCTCTGAGGAAAACACAGAATAAAATGAACATCCATGTCAGACCACTGATGAAAGTATAGTTCTACAAGTTTTGAAGCACAGCCTGAGCCTAAGCTAAACTCACACACAGCAGCAGAGCATGGATTCAGTGACTGGATGCACCACTACGGATCTACTTGGAGTGTAAGACCTACTACTGAGCAGCAGTTGGCTGTCTAACTATAACAAGCAGCTTCCACCATGGGATTGACAGCCAGACAGCCTGATGTGATAGGCTGACCATGAGTTGTAAAGTGTGTATGTGTGTTGTGGGTGTGACTGTGGATCACTAGACTTTCTGAAGACAGCAAAGCTACTGCTGGCCGAACATAAGTCAGGGAGAGAGATGCTCTGTCCTATTCTGGGTGGTCAATGCCAACATTAATTAACATATTACTCTGGTCTCAGTGGGGACTATGGTCATATGTTTGCAATTTATGAAACTGATATTTTAGGGAAATATATTTGGATTTTTATCTATATACCTTGTATATGCATATATAGATAGATAGATATTAAGTTTTCAGCATTAATGTAATTGTGGTTGTTGGAGATTATTTTAGTATCCAACTCAAAATCCCATTTAAATTCCCATGAATTGTGCTTATATCACAATGCATTAATTCCTGTATAACTAGCACTATAAATGGGCTAAATGGAGATAAAATTTGCAATAATTCAGGCTTTCCCCTCCCCTTCTATACTCCTCCTCCTTGGTATAAGCAAAAGAAAAAAAAGAAAAAAATATTTATCATTCAGATACACTAAATTGTATATTTCAGTGCCTAACTACATTCTCTTTACAGGTCTAAAAATCTGTATTTGCTTCTAACTTCTTTTATCCTATCATAATATTTTAAGGAATGTAATTGGATGATATTTTCATTGGTTCTATCTCTATGTCTGTCTCTCTTTTTCTCTATATATTTTTAACAACACCATATATATGTATATGGTATATGTATATGGTATACATGTGTATGGTATATGTATATGTATATGGTATACATGTGTATGGTATATGTATATGTATATGGTACATATATATGTATATGGTACATGTATATGTATATGGTATATATATGTATATGGTATATATATGTGTGTGTATATATACACATATATACATATATATACACACATATATATACACATATATATATGTGTATATATATATATACCTGATGCTGATTTCTTCCATTTTAGCACAATAACCATTAAATCTAAGGCAGGCAGTCTCTCTGAATTAATATTCAAATTAAATTTGCTCTGTACCATCACAGATGATTATTTTTAAATGCTCGCTTTTACTGATAAAAAGAACTGCCTATGCATAATAATTGAGATTTTATAACTGACCACATACCTCTTTTGAGGGGATTGTCTCCCTAGCAAAATTAAAGATCCTTCCAGAGTAACGGTGCTGACTTTGGAGTCAATGCATAATGAGGGAATGAGTATGTGGGGGAAGAGGAGGTAGAATGAGTGCTCAGTCAATTTCACTGAAATACCAGCACCCAACATCTTTGAAAGTACATTTCTTATATAAACACTTGTCTTTGCAGGGTTGCTTGCAAAATGTCCTATTTGTCTCTATCCCATCTAAGATTTTCTGTATGTATGTATATTTTGATTCAAAAGTTTATTCTATGTTTTCTCACTGCAATTATTTGTTAAAATAAAATGTAATTATAGAGCATAATCAAACTCACATATTGTGAATCCATAATCTTTTTTTATTCTTTTATTTTTGGGGGGACAGAGTCTCAGTCTGTTGCCCAGGCTGGAATGCAGTAGTTCAATCATGGCTCACTGCAGCCTCAAACTTGTGGGCTCAAGTGATCCTCCTACCTCAGCCTCTCAAGCAGCTAGGACTACATGCATGCACCATTATGCCCAGCTAATTTTTTAATTCAATTTGATTTATTTTTTTAATTTTAATTTTCTTAACTTGTTGTAGAGACATGGTCTCACTATGTTGCCCAGGCTGGTCTCAAACTCCTGGACTCAAGTGATCCTCCTGCCTTGGCCTCCCACAGTGTTGGGATTACAGCAGCAACCCACTATACCAGGCTATACATCTATCTTTTTATCTCCTACTCATAAAATAAAAGTTATTTTTCTCATAAAATAACTTATTTTTTCCATGTTAAATCGCAATGTTTTCATCTACAAAATGTTTGTATCCTTCTTGCAGTATTGTTCTCAGATCATCCTAAATATAAAATACGACTTGCCTAGCACAATACCTGTTGCCTATAAATGGAGCTATTATTATTTTTCCATAGTCAATATACTTTATGAGAAAATTTAACCAAAGTTCAAGTTTTAATTTCTAGTATAAATTTATGATTACTTTAAGAAAATTATTTATTAAATAATCATTTGCATGAAGTTATTGTTTTAAACCTTCCATATTCAACCTGAACTGTTTATTCATTCAGGGATTTCCATTTGTCAAATCATTTTATGAAACCCTGGGCTCAAATTTGAGGCAACGAGACCATCAGAGCTCTTTTGGAGCACAGTGCAAACACTCATGACATTATTGTACTTATAGTGCATAATATCTTCTTATTGTATGGGTCTCTGGAATTCTAAGCTCTCCCAAATAGCCTCTCTGGGCTAAAGCAGCTCCTGGTCTTGCAGAGCCATAGGGAACTCTCATACTAAAATTGCAAACTAAGTGTCTTTTAGGGATGTGGAGTAGTGTCGTTTGGAAGCATGTGTGCTGGGGCTTTCTTTGACTTTTGCTCTCCTTCCAAAATCTAATGAAACCTGGCACCAACTCACACAAAAGGCAGAAAAAAATCACTGTGAACTTCTGTGGCACAGCTTTGGCTATGCAGTGGAAATCAAGCTTTATTTAACTGTGTAATATTTAGTCTGGTTAGAGATTTGCTAAAAAGTGTATTTATTTACATATTCAAACAAATCATCTTTGGAAGCACAGGAGTAAATATAATAAAGTCCCTGATTTAAAAACTTTAAAAATATTAAATTAAACCATAAGCAAGTAACTTAGAGCACATGTGATGAGATATTTGAAAACACGATGCTGCCGGTTTAAGGGCTGCTAACTGCTGGGATGAAGCACGTGCCACGAGTCATCCAGAAATATTGAGTCTAACATTCTGTGCTCCGTGGGAATAAAACCAACCACCTACTTCAAGCTAGTCCCATTAGCTATTCTCAAAGAATAGCAAGTATCTATACTAATTCTGATAACTCTAATGTTTGTTTTACATCATTTTGCCCAAACACAAATATGATGAAAAATGTCATGATTTTGTTGTTGTTCAATAATCCAAAAAACAAAAATGTTACTTGATATTTTATAGACCAATATTTTGCGGGTGAAAATCCTTACCACATTTGAGGGCTCTAATTTCTTCCTTCTGGCAAGATCAGTAATGTTGACGCCATTGTAGTTGATGCTTTCCATGCAGCCTTTGAAATTCTTTCTACTGCTGGAGCTGGGCTTGCCAGAGAAAGGGATGCCTCCAAAGGTTATCTTTGAGAAAAAGAAATTAAATGTAAACGTCCACATTGTATTATGATGAACTAGACAAAACTATGAATACAGTGAAGGTCAAGTATCTATACCTCAACCAAAATATACAAATATTATAGCATTCTGCCTCCAAAATCTATGGCATATTAAATTATGTTGTTGTTGAAGTGTCTAATGGAGTCATTCATTCTGATAATTAGATTATAACTTGAACAAAAAAAAGCAATGATCCTTTGCAATTTTACTGCCCCAAAGGCATTTTATAAATTTTCTTGAGAATATTTTAAAAGATTTTTATTCAGCAAACTTCTTGTATCAAATAATATTAGAAATATATTTTTATGTTTATCATTCAAAGACATACTATCAATAAATGCCTCCAGTAAGCATGAGATAATCAGCACTAATTTAATAAGCTGATAAAACTGCAGCCCAAAGCAAGGGATATCGTATTTACCCTATGCAGACTTGTAGTCTAATGACCATTATTGTCAAAAATTCATTAGATTTATTTTGGATGTAGAAAATAGTTCAAAAAATATCATTACAATATTGATTAGGGACCACTTAGGATTTGGGAACTCAAAGTTGAGCTGTGTAGGCTTAAAGATATTATAGGTCTTTTAAATCTTAAGAAATAAGACAATGCTACTTACTGTGTTTCTCTGGCTGCTATCGCTTATAGAAAGAAAATATCCATTTCTTATACATTTTTGATCAATATACACTATAGCATTAAATTTATATGATACAAAATTGCATTTAGTATTTGCATGGTCAAGGATGATATTTACTATGAATAGTGAATTAGTAGTAAATGAAGCCAACCGCTAATTATAATATCAAGATATACAATACTTGTAATATATATCTTTTAAATTATCATACAATATTACCATTATCTATTTTTTTTACTATCAGCTTCATTAAAATGTCAGAAAATGCTCTGTGGTCCAACCACTTTATTTTCAATGAGAATATATAACTATAAAGAATCAATGACAGCCTAATATCCTATCATTAGTTACATTAGGGATTGGGGTTAGAACTCACTAAATGGTTAGGAATCTGTTAACTTGAGCCTGTGGTGCTTTTCCAGAGCATGTTTGATGGGGTGAAATGAAAGCAACAGTGAAGACATTTTTAAAAATCACGACTTCATATTTGAAGCATAAGTCAAATATTCTGTGTTCTGGAAGGTCCATGAACAAATTATGTTCTATGATTTAGTGTTATGGCATCTTAAATGCTTAAGTACTTTTAGGGGGGGAAACACAAATTGTGGTTTATGAGGTGATGGTAAAAAAAAAAACAAAGGCCTCATTTACAATAAAATCAATTATTATTAATAATGGTTAGCTGAATATGTATTATTTGCCACACAGTTCATATATAAGAAGGTAAAAGGAAAATTGAGGAAAAATATATCCCAAAGAATCAGAAAACTACAAAGAAGAAATAGTAATCTAAAGTAGAATTATTGGGAAAATGTTTTCAAGTTGCACTGAAATGAACATATTAGGTACTACCTAAGTGTGCCTAGTACCAAAGGCAATCATTTTTGATACTAAAATGGAGTACTACGTCTCCTGTTTACAATCTTTTTGAACAATTTTTCCCCAACTGACAGTAATAATACCGTCAATGTTTAATATTATTAAATACATATTCCTCTGTGTGCATATTTCTTTAATTCGGACCTTTCACTTTCTGCAGGGGATTCAAATTATCCTTACAGTTTCCCTGTTTTCAGCAACTCTAGGCACAAGTCCACCTCATCAAGGTGCTCTGGAAAAGCAATGCAGGCTCAAGTTAACAGATCCGAACAATTTAGTGAATTCTGACCCCAATTCCTAAGGTAACTAATTATAGGATATTAGGTTGTCATTTATTCTTTCTAGTTATAAATTCTCATTGGTGGGCCAGGCATGGTGGCTCACACCTGTAATCCCAGCACTTTGGGAGGCCAAGGCGGGTGGATCACCTGAGATCAGGAGTTCGAGACCAGCCTGATCAACATGGAGAAACCCCATCTCTACTAAAAATACAAAATTAGCTGGGCGTGGTGGTGCATGCCTGTAATCCCAGCTATTTGGGAGGCTGAAACAGGAGAATAACTTGAACCCAGGAGGCGGAGATTGCGGTGAGCTGAGATCTTGCCATTGCACTCCAGCCTGGGCATACAGAGAAAGAGTCCGTCTCAAATATTAATAATAATAAAATAAAATTCTCATTGGTAAAATAAACTGGTTGGACCACAGAATATTTTCTGACACTTTAACGAAGCTGATAGTAACAAATATTGTTGCAGTTGTCCGATTAATATTCAATTATTCCTGTGGCTCATATGATACATTTATTAATGACCTTGCCATCCAATAACCTTGCCTCTAAAGAAATAACTGCAGTAACGATTTTGTTAGCTTTCAAGTGTACACAAAATGTCGCAGGGACTATTGGATACCTCTACATATCCTTTCTTCCTACCCTCATTAGGGAAAAAAAATAATGCTTTTCAGCTGGGCACATTGCTCCCCAGTCAATATAATAAATTATCAACTTCTTTGAAGCCAGTTTTGGTCTCATGATATTTAAGTGGAAGGGCTGTATGCGATTCTAAGAACTGTCATTAAGAGGGGGAGGACACAGTCTTGTTTACTCTCTCTTCCTTCTTGCTAGCTGAAGTGCAAAGTGAAATGTTAGCAGCCGTCTTTGAGTGATTTGCAACAGGGATAGAGGAAGAGCAAGATTAAAAAGGACTGTGATCTTGAAGATCGTGGAGCAGCCATTTGCCTCCAGTCTTCTTTTACATAAAGGAGAATAAACGTGCATCCATTAAATGTAGCCTATGTAATCTTAACTCACACACATTTTTTTCTATTACTTCCTGTTGCCTCCTCATAAACCCTATGGAAAGAATGCGATTAGATTCATTTCATCAAAGGGGAATATGAATTGTCCACTGTCACACAACCATTAAAGGGCAGAAACAGGTTCAAACTCGGGCTTCTCCTCCTGTGACTGATTTTCTTCCTAGGCAGTCTGTGGTTCTGCAATGGTCAAGAGAGTCATTCCTCTACTTCCCTAGCAGAGCTGTATTGCAAAAGACAACAGCATAATATCCACAGTGGGTGTCCTCTGAAGAACAGAGAGAATCTAAGCCAAACACCATTTTGCTGCTCTCCCCTTTGGTTTTTATTGACTACGCTGAGGAAAAATGAAGTGAAGTGCACGTATATATCACCACACAGTCTCAAGCCACCCTGTAGCTAGCAGCCTCATTGCAGGTGGTGATTGGCCCACTTTGCAGTGTAGGCAGCTACAAGAGGAGGGGATGAGACAAACTCTTAGGACTAGGTCACAAAAAATGTCCATATATGCCGGGAGCGGTGACTTATGTCTGTAATCCCAGCATTTTGGGAGGCTGAGGCGGGCAGATCACGAGGCCAAGAGATCGAGACCATCCTGGTCGACATGGTGAAACCCCATCTATACTAAAAATACAAAAATTAGGGCTGGGTGGGGTGGCTTACACCTGTAATCCCAGCACTTTGGGAGGCCGAGGTGGGTGGATCATGAGGTCAGGAGATCGAGACCATCCTGGCTAACACAGTGAAACCCCATCTCTACTAAAAATACAAAAAAATAGCCGGGCATAGTGGCAGGTGCCTGTAGTCCCAGCTACTCAGGAGGCTGAGCCAGGAGAATCACTTGAACCCGGGAGGCGGAGGTTGCAGTGAGCCAAAATCGCGCCACTGCACTCCAGCCTAGTGATAGAGCAAGACTTCATCTCAAAAAAAAAAAAAAAAAAAAAAAGGAAAAAAAGGAAATGTCCACATAGAGTTACATCAAAGGAGTGAACTTGTATTCCATCACTTCTTTCATGATGTTCATCTCCAGAAATTGTGGTAAGTATATTTAATTTACGCTAGCAGTGCTGTGCTGAATCCCACTCATACTGGTTCACAAGAACCGACTGCTAAGCAGAGCTATTATTAAAACTTCCACTACATAAGCTATAAATTAAGTAAATTACATGAAACACAAAATTCATACCTATTCAGAATTTATCTCTACACTTTACTTTCGTATATGTTCTTGAGGTCATTTATATTTATTGCAACTATATGATGGAAATACCGTCATATAGTGCTATTAGGCACCTCTTTGCAACTCCCTGCTCAGTTCCATATATGGTAGCATGAAATCAACCATGGTGGGAAATTCGCACCATGAAAATTAACAAATGCTATATATCAGGGCATTCCTGACCATTCCTCCCTGGAGAGAGCTGGTTGTTAAGCATTTACCAGCATACCTCCACCTTTGGGCCTCAATGCCTTTGTCCTTAGTGTACTCTGGAAGAATTGATTGAGGCAGTATAATCTTGGGGAAGCAGGACATTGCATCTTCAGGTTTTGTGAAGATAACAAGACGAGCTTTCTCTTCCTTTAGGCCAAAGCCTTTAAATAGTTCAGGAATGAATGTTGTATAATTTGTATTATTTTAGGTTTGAAGCTAATTTTCATGCAGTCTGTGAGGTTTGAGTATAGTTAGTGTGTGGATATATCAAGGAGATAAGTACAACAAAACTAGAGACTGACTCTAATACAGTCCGTGAGGTGTTTGTTTGTTTTTTGTTTTGTTTTTGAGATGGAATTTCACTCTTTTTGCCCAAGCTGGAGTGCAATGGCATGATTTTGGCTCACTGAAACCTCTGCCTCCTGAGTTCAAGTGATTCTCCTGCCTCAGCCTCCCAAGTAGCTGGGATTACAGATGCCTGCCACCATGCCTGGCTAATTTTTGTATTTTTAGTGGAGACGGGGGTTTCACCACATTGGCCAGGCTGGTCTTAAACTCCTGAGCACAGGTGAACCACCCGCCTTGGCCTCCCAAAGTGCTAGGATTACAGGCGTGAGCCACCATGCCTGGCCCAGTCCCTGAGGTTTTTTCTAAACAAATAAGCAAAGGGAGTCCCTTTCCATTAAGAGAAAAGTGTAGCAATATAAAGGTAAGCACAGCCACTTTTATTACATTTCATGCCAATAATTGCAGTCTCTAAGAGGACCATAATCTGGCAGTAGCCAGAAATGGTAAGTCTACCCTGATTCTTTGTCAGTTAATTTAAATTTCTTCCTACTGTTTCTGTCTAATAAATAAGTTCCAGGTATTTTAGTCTATACCTGCAGTTCTCAAACACGACATTGTATATAGATGGGCTTCAAAGTGTCCATGAAACTGCTGATCCGATATAGCAAGTGTTGTGTGTGCGTGAATAGTCATAGACTTCGTCACACACTCAACAGGGTTTATGACCCCAAATTTTTAATTTGGTTTTTTGAAAATTAGAATTATATTTCTTCATTCTTAATGTTCCAGAATTTTCACCTCTTCTATGGTACTTCAAAGTTTATTAACAGAGGATGAATAATTCATCTTTAAGATCTCTCATACATTGGGAGATAAGTCACATGAGCCAAGACACATACTAATTTAGAGAAGATAGAAATTTCTGGGATGTTCACATACATTTTCTTTTAACAATCAGTTTGCTTTTAAGAGTTTTTTTTAGGGGGAGGGATAAAATACTTTCCAATAATCTTAAATTCATTTAATGTTAATAAAGTCTCCATCAGTGTTTATATAGCATATTCTACTCTAAATTTTTTATTTAAGAATATATATCGTATATTCATATTGCAAAAAACTAGAAACTATTTAAACATAAAGATAATAGAAAACACAGCTATTAATCCTGTTTTTTCCATTTATTTTATGATGAGCATATTCCATATTCTTATAAAATTATACATAAATATACATAACACACACATATATATATGAATACATCTCCAATTTCAGAACTGGGTGCCAAGGAACATGAAGGTGGTGCAGAAAACTAATAGGGGTGCCATAGCATGTTTGAAATTTTTAAAGAAAACACAACAATATTTGACACCTTTTGGACATTGTGTGAAACTCTAGCTTAAGGTAGTTTACTGTTCCAGTATTAGATAATGTGTCATTCCTTTTAATGATGTGCTGTCTTTGTGAATTTTGGATTTGGTCATTACTCTCATTACTCTGATTAAGACAGAGTATCATGTAGAGTAAAAGTGGAACAGAAAATTAGAATGCCATTGGCAAATCTGATCCCCATTTCTGCCAGTCGTACAGTGCAATAGCACTCATCCCATTAGTAATAATTGCTGTTGTTTAAGAATGAAATAAAAATCTACTTTCACTTTTATTTTGTGTTTATTTCTCTAAATGGCTACCAAAGTCTTAGGACGTAAATTTTTAGGTTGTTTGGACCTAACGGCTCAGGACTGCTGTGGAAAAAGTTCGAAGACACTAAGGGCTCCATGAACTAAGAAAGTTCGGAAACTTCTGGCTAAGTAATAGCATTGTGTCCCTTTTATCTTACCGTTCTGCTGCTTTTGTATGTATAGTGTTATCCTTTTCTCCTAGGATGTATAATACTGTGACAAACATCTTTTTTTCGTTGTTGTTTTTTTTGAGGCAGTTTTGCTCTGTTGCCCAGGCTGGAGTGCAGGGGCACAATCTCAGCTCACTGCCACCTCCACCTCCTGGGTTCAAGCGATTCTCCTGCCTCAGCCTCCTGAGTAGCTGGGATTACAGGCACGTGCCACCACAACCAGCTAATTTTTGTATTTTTAGCAGAGACGGAGTTTCACCATGTTTGTCCGGCTGGTCTTGAACTCCTGACCCTGTGATCCGCCCGCGTCAGCCTCCCAAAGTGCTGAGATTACAGGCATGCGCCACCACGCCCGGCTGACAAACATCTTAAAGAGCTCACCTACGTATATGATTAACAGTTTTAATGGATATTTTAAGGTTGAATTGCTCTCCAAATAATTTAAAAATATGATATACCTACTTTTAACCTATGAGAATATATTTTTATTTATATAAACGTGATCATTGATTATTTTTAATCTCTAATTATTGAGAAGGTAATATATGTCTTTTTGTTCATGAACAATCTTTTTAAAATAGTCTGTATTTTACTTTATTGCTTTTGTGATATTGATTCTGAGAAAACAGAGCTTGTCAAAAGACCCATCTACAGTCATGAGTTTCTAAATGACTTAATATAAACCAGAAACTAAGATTTCTTATTCAATACTTTATAATAAATATTAGACAACCCTCTGCATATAATGTACTGCACATTCTCAAGAAGAATTGATAACATGATTAACTACCAATGAAAGGATTACAAATTAAATTTATTCTGAATTTATTAAATGGCCTGGATAGCATGGTTCCTCTCTTCAAATTATTACATTGGTACTAAGATTTTTATAATAGTTCAAGTACTCATGATTATAAATTTAGAAATAAAATGAAACGAATTAATCAGGTTTTTAAAATTGTCAGTGTCTTGTTTAGAGAAGAAAATAAAAAAGGTGTAAGTAGTAATATAATTAACAATAATACAATACAGTAGGAGAGTGACACAATTGCTTGACATTTTATTACAATTTCTACGTCATCACATGTACCTCATAGTCCAAGTCCAGGTAGTCAAACTCTCCATTGGTACGGAAGTGCTGCATGCTCCTGTCCAGAGTGAGGTTAATGCTCCGCCCCTGGCGCTCAATGACCACAGAGTGCCAGTGGTGGTCATCCAGCAAACTTCCTGTCATCACTGATGTGTGGCCATATATGGGGCCAAGCTGGTTGCTTCCTGCGTACACAGAAGTGAAAAAGAAACAATGCAATGATGCTATGGCCAACTCTGTGAAGCAGAAGATCTTTCATTTACAGCACCTAGAGGCTGACATTCCATCAAAGCTCTATCCATTCGAGTTAACCTGGGATACCAGTAAGTAACGACACTTAAAAATACTTTATGTTCTGGGGACTGTTGTGGGTTGGGGGTAGGGGGGAGGGATAGCATTGGGAGATATACCTAATGCTAGATGACGAGTTAGTGGGTGCAGCGCACCAGCATGTCACATGTATACATATGTAACTAACCAGCACATTGTGCACATGTACCCTAAAACTTAAAGTATAATAATAATAAATGAAAAAAAAGAAAAATAAATAAATAAATAAAATAAAATGTAATAGTAAAAAAATACTTTATGTTCAAAGTACGTACAAGTTATTAAACATGGAAAAAAGTGCTTTTTTAAAAAGGGGGAAAATGAGTGTTTTATGACTGTGCAATGAATTCTGCTAAATTTTGGTAGGTTTGTTATAAAGTCAGTGTCACGTGGGCTTTTACAGAAGCCTTCTGGGTTCTGATGCTGGCTCCACTTTTAGCTTGGGTTCCAGGACAAGTTGAGAATGCTTGGTCTCCATTTTCTCATATATACAATAGGGAAGATAATAGTACCTGCTTTGTAAGGTTGCATGAGGATTCAATGAGTTAGTACAGGCAAAGAATTTAATACACTTTCTGGCATATAGTGAACATAACTGTTACCTGTTAATCTTTTATGACTGTTATAATTATTATTAAGACCACATAGCAAGACCATTTTTAATTTTCATTGACTCCAAAAGACATTGTTGTAAAGAGAACAATATGCAATTGTTAATGGCATAGAAAATTTACTTGTTATCTTTTAATTAAAATGATAACATTCAGAATTATATATGTAGCTTTTAGTTCTGAAATAAGATCTCCATAGCAACAAAACTATAAATAAAAGTAAAAGATTGTTAGAATCTAACATATTTATTAAGGTCATCCCTGGATAAAGTTTACATAGTTTGTTTCATCTATGTTGTCTATTCAAGAATTGCTTTTTATGGTCAGGCAAAATTAATCACTATAAAAATATAATAGGGTTTCAGAATAAATAGCATAATGGAAATAAGAGATAAACAATTGACTGTCACACTAAATTCTTCCTTCCTTCCTTCCTTCCTTTCCTTCTTTCTTTCTTTCCTCTCCCTTTCTTTCCCCTCCCACACTCCCTCCTTCCTTCCTTCCTTCCTTTCTCCCTTTGTATGCTAATGCCCCCATACCTTACATTTTCTATTATCTTCCTAGAACATATTTTCTTCTTTTATGGTGATGAAATCAAATGTTGATGTGTGATGGTAAATCAGTGTGTATGCGTAAAATGAGACAAGGAAAAGGAGAGGGACAAGAGGAGGAAGAGGAAGAGAGAGGAAGAAAATTCAGAACTAAGTGAAAAGGTCACACTGAGTTTTATTTAAATATTTACACTAGTAGACTGAGCAGCAGGTAGACACGTCTGATATTTAGGTAACTGCATTAAAGAATGGCAGTAGATATTTGAGTGGATATTTCTCCCTGGCTGTTGTAAATTCCAGTCAGTCAGTAAAACTCCATCAGTAAACTGCTTTCCAATGTAAAGCTAATAAACTTTTTTTGGTAAGGTCACAAAGTCAGTTACTTCTTTGAAAACAGTAATGTCACACTGCTATAAGCCACAGTTGATTTTAAAAGGTTACTCTACATGTTTCATTTGGGATAAAAAATGAAAAGTTTGAAAAAATAAACATCTTTAGATATAATTCAACTGCAGTGTGTGTGTGTGCACACGTGTGCATGTGTGCATATTTTATGGAAGTACACATAAAATGTTTTTATGTGTACAAAAAACAAAAATGTCTTTTGTTTCTGGTTACTCTCCCCCTGCTCTTCCTTCTTTTCCTCTATTGGGTCTTGTTTTAAAAATAATTTCAGGCTATTTTCCCCTGGTAGCACAATGAATACACGTTCGTTATTAGAAGCAGAGAATATTATGAAGAAACAAGTGAAATGTAATGCAAAAATATTTCCACCTCTAAAAATAATTTGGTCTATTTTCTTTCATATGTTTTCCACAAACAGTCATGCACCACATAATGACATTTCTTTCAACGATGGGCTTCATATATAATGGTGTTAACATCAAATTTAATACTGTATTTTCACTGTATCCATTCTATTTTTTGATATGCAAATACTTACCAGTTTTTTACACAGTTGCCTAAAGTATTCAGTACAGTAACATGCTATACAGATTTCTACACTAGGAGCAATAAGCTCTACCATATAGCCTAGGTGTGTAATAGGCTATACAATTTACGTTTGTCTTTGCAGACTCTTGTATTTACAAAGTGTTGAAACTCACACAGAATTTCTCAGAACGCATCCCCATTTTAAAGTGACACATGACTGCATATATTTAATTAGATCGATAGATTGATACATTTTGTATCCTACAAGTTTTACTTAATATTATATATTTCCCCATACAATTAAAAGTTAGCACATTTTAAATGCTATCAACATATTTCTATGTGTTTAATTTTTTCCCAATTTTTGACATTGTAATTAATGTTGCAAATTACATATTTGGACTTAAATCCTAGTGGTCATTTCTTTTTTTGCCTTATGATTTTTGGACCAAAATACTGTATTGTAAGAGATTTCAAGTGTCCGAAGACATACTGTCTAGCTATTTTCCTGAAAGTATTTTCTGACTTGCAGAACAATACAAAGGATCCATTTTGTCAAATACCAACACTGAAAGTATCACTTTAAAATGTATTTACTTACTTGATAAAAATTAAGCATTGGGTGTTTATATAATATTTTTTTCTTTTATGAGTTATCTTGTATATCATTTGCCTATATTTTCTCCTAATGTCTTGGTATTATTATGCAGTGGTATAATTTCTTATTCATGATTTATATTAAACCAGTATATTTGACATTTGTATTTCCCAGGTTTTGCATGCATTTTAATGTTACTTTTATTTTAATGTAAAAAATAATATTTTATGTAACTAAGTGATGGCGAATTTTGTGTGACTTTTCTTCTTTGTTATAGAAGCTATTGTGTCTATCAGATCAGATCTTTAATGTGAAAAGTTTTATAATCAAGGGTACATCTTTAAGGTAATGTATCATTACCTACAAAAATAGCCTAAGTGAAGTTGCAATTTTTAGTATAATACTGAATTTCAAAGTAATAAAAGTTAATATATGAGATACAAGTCATATTCAGGAATGTTTGGACCACTCAAATTGGTAATTGCCAAATAAATCAAATAGCCTAGAATTTTTAGCCAATCAAGAGAAACAGGTGAGACAGGGGCCAAGATGGCTGATGAGAAGCAGCTGAAGTCTGCAGTGCTCAAGGAGAGGAATGGAAGGGATCAGTAAATACAGCCTTTTCAAATGAAATATTCAGGTTCTCACATGGAGACGGATTAGGGAAACAACTTCACACAAGGAGAATGAAGGAAAGCAGGATGGGGCTACAGCCTACCCAGGAGCGACGTGGAGCCAAGGGAACCCCCAACCCCTGCCAAGGGAAGCAGTGAGTGACTATGTGACCCCAAGAAACCATGCTTCTCCCATGGATTTCTGCAACTCACAGATTAGGAGATCTTGTGAGCCCATGACACCAGAGCCTTGGGTCTGACACACAGAGCTGTGTGGAGTCTTGGCAGAACAACTGCTCAATCATGCACAGAGACAGGGTGGAGCTTTACAAACTCCACCCTGGGATTTCCAACAAAGGTGTCTGCAACTCAGGCAAGGCGGGAGGTCTGCACATACTCCTAGGAAGGGGGCAGAATCCAGGGAGCCGAATGGCATTGTTCTGTGGGCCCCATTTCCATGGCACCCTACAAGAAAAGACCCACTGGCTTGGAATTTCAGCCAGCCACTGTCATCAGGACAAAGCCTTCTTGAGACCAGATGGAGCCTCGAGGAGAGGTACAGACACCATCTCTGCTATTTGGTCGACTGGGCCTTTGCAGCCTGTGGGCTTTGGAGAGTCCAAAGAGTCCAGACAAGGAGGAAGGTTTCCCCAGCAGCGTAACACAGTGGCTTTGCCAGATCATGGCCAGACTGCTTCTTTAAGCAGAGCCCTGATCCATTCTTCCTACTGGGTGGGACCTCCCAGCTGGGGCCCTCCAACCACACCTGCCTGCATGACAGAGCTATTTTCTATCCCTGGGATGGAGTGACCAAGGGAGGGGAGGGTCACCACCTGGGTTGTTTGGACAATTCAGTCATTCCACAGCCTGTGGGCTTTGGAGAGTCCAAGCTGATGGGGGCAGAGGCAGTTCCTCACCACAACATAGCTGTTTTGTCAAGGTGTGACCAGACTGTTTCTTTAACTGCCCCATCCCCCCATCCATTCTTCTTCCCAGGGCAGGTTGTCCCAGCTGGGGCCTCTGGCCACCCCTGCCTGTGTTCTCCACGGGACAAAGTGCCTGAAGGGTGGGGCAGGTCACCAACTTGGACATTCAGGCTTCTCAGCTAGTCCAGCCTGTGGGCCTTGGAGAGCCCAAACCGATTAGGGGCTGAAGAAATCTCCAACACAGCACAGTGGCTCTATCAAAAAGCAGCCAGACTGCTTTTTTAAGTCAATCCCTGACCTCATTCCTCCTGACTGAATGAGACCTCCCAACAGTAGTCTCCAACCACTTCCTCCAGGCACACTTGGGCCAGCAATAGGTCAGTTATCCCTAGCATGGAACTTCCAGAGGAAGCAGCAGGCTGCCAACTTTGCTGTCCTGCAGGCTTCATTGCTGATATTATACTTCCAGGTACAGGAAAAACAGAGGCAACTAGTGTCTCGAGTGGACTCCCAGCAAACCACAATAGCCCTATGGATGAGTGGCCAGACTTCTACAGGGCTATTAAAAGAAAAACAAACACAAAACAACAACAACAACAAACCCCACAAAACTCCATCTCCAAATCAGCAACTTCAAACATTGAAGGTAGATAAGACACCAAAGATGAGAAGCAATCAATGCAAAAAATTCTGAAAAATCAAAAAGCCGAGTGCCCCTTTTCCTCCAAATGATTGCAACACCTCTCCAGCAAGCGCTCAGAACTGGGCTAAGGCTGAGATGGCTGAAATGACAGAAGTAGGCTGCAGAAGGTGGGTAATAACAAACTTCACTGAAGTAAAGGAGCATGTTGTACCCCATGCAGAGAAGCTAAGAATCATGGTAATACAATATGGGATCTGATAGCCAGAACACCCAGGTTAGAGAGGAATATAATTGACATGTTAGAGCTGAAAAACACACTACTACAATGCAATCACAAGTATTAATAGCAGGCAGACCAAGCAGAGGAAGAAATCTCAGAGCTTGAAGCCTAACTTTCTGAAATAAGACAGGCAGACAAGAATAGAGAAAAAAGAATGAAAAGGAATTAACAAAACCTCTGAGAAATATGGAATTATGTAAAGAAACTAAACCTTCAACTGATTGGTGTACCTGGGAGAGACCGGGAGAATGGAATCAAGTTGGAAAACATACTTCAGGATATGATCCAGGAGAACTTCCCCAACCTAGGAAGAAGGCCAACATTCAAATTCAGGAAATGCAGAGAACCTCAGTAAGATACTCCACAAGATGATCATCCCCAAGACACATAATCATCAGATTCTCTGAGGTTGAAATTAAAGAAAAAATGTTAAAGGCAGCCAGAGAGAAAGGCTGAAAGGCCAGGTCACCCACTAAGGGAAGCCCATCTGACTAAAAGCAGCCCTCTCAGCAGAAACTCTACAAGCTAGAAGAGATTGGGGGCCAATAATCAATATTCTTAAAGAAAAGAATTTCCAACCCAGAACTTCACATCCAGTCAAACTAAGCTTCATAAGTGAAGGAGAAATAAGATCCTTTTCAGACAAGCAAATGCTGAGAGAATTTATTACCACCAGTCCTGCCTTGCAAGAGCTCCTGAAGAAAGCACTAAATATGAAAAGGAAAAACCATTACCAGCCACTACAGAAACACATCGAAATACACAGACCAGTGACACTATGAAGCAATCACATAAACAAGCCTGCAAACTAACCAGCTAGCAGCATGATGACAGGATCAAATCCACACATAACAATACTAACCTTAAATGTAAATGGGTTAAATGCCCCAGTTAAAAGACACAGACTGGCAAGCTGGATAAAGAGCCAAGACCCAATGGTATGCTGTCTTCAAGAGACCCATCTCACATGCAAACACACACATAAGCTCAAAATAAAGGATGGAGAAAAATGTACCAAGCAAATGGAAAACAGAAAAAAGCAGGGGTTGCAATTGTAGTTTCTGACAAAACAGACTTTAACCCACCAAAGATCAAAAAACACAAAGAAGGGCATTACCTAATGGTAAAAGGCTAAATTCAACAAGAAGAGTTAACTATCATAAATATATATGCACCCAGTACAGGAGCACCCAGATTCATAAAGCAAGTTCTTAGAGATCTTCAAAGAGACTTAGATTCCTACACAATAATAGTGGGAGACTTTAATACCCCACTGACAATATTAGACAGATCATCGAGGCAGAAAATTAACAAAGACATCCAGGACTTGAACTCAGCTTTGGATCAAGTAGACCTGATAGATATATACAGAATTCTCCATCCCAAGACAACAGAATATGCATACTTCTCATCACTACACAGCACTTACTCTAAAATTGATGACATAATTGAAAGTAAAACACTCAACAGCAAATGAAAAAGGACTGAAATCATAACAGTCTCTCAGACCACAGCACAATCAAATTAGAACTTATGATTAAGAAATTCTCTCAAAACGACACAACTACATGGAAAGTGAACAACCTGCTCCTTAGTGACTCTTGGGTAAATAATGAAATTAAGGCAGAAATCAAGAATTTCTTTGAAACTAATGAGAACAAAGATACAAAGTACCAGAATCTCTGGGATGCAGTTAAAGCAGTGTTAAGAGGGAAATTTGTGGCCCTAAATGCCCACATCAAACAGCTAGAAGTACCTCAAGTTAGCAACCTAGCATCACAACTAAAAGAATTAGAGAACCAAGAGCAAACAAACCCCAAAGCTAGTAGAAGACAAGAAATAACCAAGATCAGAGCTAAACTGAAGTGGAATAGAGAGGCACACACAAAAAAATCCTTCAAAAAATCAATAAATCCTGGAGCTGGTTGATATGATCTGGCTCTGTGTTCCCACCCAAATCGTATCTTGAATTGTAATCCAAATTATAATCCCCATGTGTTGGGGGAGGGACGTCATGGGGGTGGTTCCCCTTGCTGTTCTCATCATAGTGATTGAGTTCTCATGACATCTGGTGTTTTTATAAAGGGCTTTCCCCGACTTCACTCTGCACTTCTCTCTCCTGCCGCCATGTGAAGAAGGATGTGTTTGCTTCCCTTTCGGCCCTGATTGTAAGTTTCCTGAGGCCTCTCCAGCCATGTGAAACTGTAAGTCAAGTAAACCTCTTTTTTTTTTTTAATAAATCACTCAGTCTTGGGCAGTTCTTTATACCAGTGTGAGAATTTAATACACTGGTTTTTTGAAATAATTAATAAAATAGTCCATTAGCTAGAATAATAAAGAAGAAAAGAGAGACGATTCAAATAAACACAACCAGAAATCGTAAGGGGGGCATCACCACTGACCTCACAGAAATACATTTGTATTTCCCTATAGAAATATGTTTGTATTTCTCTATTATTTTTATAGTATTCTCTGTACCATCAGAGAATGCTATGAACACCTCTATGCACATAAACTAGAAAATCTAGAAGAAATGGAAAATTTCTGGACACATGCACCCTCCCAAGACTGAACCAGAAAGAAATTGATTCCCTAAGCCAGACCAATAATGACTTCTGAAATTGAGGCAGTAATAAATAGCCTACCAACCAGAAAAAGCCCAGGACGAGACAGACTCACAGCTGCATTCTACCAGAGGTCCAAAGAAGAGCTGATAACATGCCTATTCAAACTATTCCAAAAACCTGAAAAGGAAGGACTCCTCTCTAGCACACTCTATGAGGCCAGCATCATCCTGGTACCAAAACCTGGTGGATATACAACAACAACAACAACAACAACAACAACAAAACTTCGGGCAAATATTTTTGATGAACATCTATGCAAAAATGCTTAACAAAGTTATGGCAAACTGAATCCAGCAGCACATCAAAATGGGTATTCACTGTAATCATGTAGGCCTCATCCCTGAGATGTAGGGTTGGTTCAACATACACATATCAATAAATGTGATTAATCACACAAAGAGATCTAAAGACAAAAACCACATGATTATCTCAGTAGATGCAGAAAAGTTCTTGAATAAAATTCAACATCCCTTTATATTAAAAACTCTCAGTTAACTAGGTTTTGAAGGAACATACCTCAAAATAGTAAGAGCCATCTATGACAAACCCACAGCCAATATCATACTGAATGGGGAAAAGCTGGAAGCATTCCACAGAAAACTGTCACAAGACAAGGATGCCTTCTCTCACCGTGACTATTCAACACAGTATTGGCTATCCTGGCCAGGGCAATCAGACAAGAGAAAGAAACAAAGGGTATTCAAATAGGAAGAAAGGAAGTCAAATTATCTTTGCAGATGTCATGATCCTGTAACTAGGAAACCTCATCATCTCAGCCCAAAAGATTCTTAAGCCGATAAGCAACTTCAGCAAAGTCTCAGGATACAAAATCAATGTATAAAAATCACAAGCATTCCTATAAGCCAACAATAAGCAATCAGAGAGTCAAATTATGAATGAACTCTCATTCACAATTGCCAAAAATAATATAAAATACCTAAGATATAGCTAACAAGGGAAGTGAAGGACCTTATTAAGAAGAACTACAAACCTCTGCTCAAAGAAATCAGAGATGACACAAATAAATGGAAAAACATTCCATGCTCATGGATAGGGAGAATAGGAATAATCAACATCATGAAAATGGCCATATTGCCCAAAGCAATACATAGATTCAATACTATTCCCATTAAACTACCATTGACCATTCTTCAGAGAATTTAAAAAAACTATTTAAAAATTCACATGGAACCAAAAAAGAGTCCAATGGCCAACACAATCCTAAGAAAAAAGAACAAAGCTGGAGGCATCACACTACCCAACTTCAAACTCTACTGCAAGGCTACTGTAACCAAAACAGCATGGTACTGATATGAACAGACACATAGACCAATGGGACACAGTATAGAACTCAGAAATAAGACCATACACCTATAACCACCTGATCTTCAACAAACCTGACAAAAACAAGCAATGGGAAAAGGATTCCTCATTGAATAAATGGTGCTGGAAGAACTGGCTAGTCATATGCAGAAAATTGAAACTGGACCCCTTCCTTACACTGTACAAAAAAATCAATTCAAAATGAATTAAAGACTTTAATTTAAAACCCAAAACTCTAAAAACCTTAGAAGACTATATAGGCAATTCCATTCAGGACATGGGCACAGGCAAAGATTTCATGATGGAGATGCCAAAAGCAATTGCAACAAAAGCAAAAATTGACAGATGGGATATAATTAAACTGAAGTGCTTCTGCACAGTAAAAGAAACTGTCATCAGAGTGAACAGACAACCTACAGAATGAGAAACAAATTTTGCAATCTATCCATCTGACAAAGGTCTAATATCTAGCTTCTGCAAGGAACTTAAATTTACAAGACAAAAACAACCTCATAAAAATGTGGGCAAAGGACATGAACAGACAATTCTCAAAAGAAGATATACATGTGGCCAACAAACATGAAAAAAAATCTCTACATCACTGATCATTAGAGAAATGCAAATCAAAACTGCAATGAGATACCATCTCACACCAGTCAAAATGACTATTATTAAAAAGTCAAAAAACAACAGATGCTGGTGATGCTGCAGAGAAAAAGGAAAGCTTTTATGCTGTTGGTGGGAGGGGAAATTAGTTCAATCATTGTGGAAGACAGCGTGAAGATTCCTCAAAGACCTAGAGGCAGAAATACCATTTGACCCAGCAATCCCATTACTGGATATAAACCCAAAGGAATATAATTTATTCTATTATAAAGATACATGCATACATATGTTCATTGCAGCACTATTCACAATAGCAAAGACATGAAATCAACCTAAATGCCCATCAATGATAGACTGGGTAAAGAAAATGTGGTACATATACACCATGGAATACTACGCAGCCATAAAAAGGAATGAGATCCTGTCCTTTGCGGGCACATGGATGGAGCTGGAGGCTATTGTCCTCAGCAAACTAATGCAGGAACAGAAAGCCAAATACCACATGTTCTCACTTATAAGTGAGAACTGAATGATGAGAACATATGGACACATAGAGAGGAACAACACACATGGGGTCTGTCGGAGGTTTAGGTGGTGAGGAAGGAAAGCATCAAGAATAATAGCTAATGGATGCCAGCCTTAATACTTAGGTGATGGGATGATCTGTGCAGACAACCGTCACGGCACACGTTTACCTATGTAACAAAGTTGTACATCCTGCCCATGCATTCATGAACTTAAATTTAAAAAAAAAAAAGAAAAAGGTACCATTACTTTGCCTAAACTGTAATTTTGAATGCCAGTACCAATCTTGCAGATCTTCACTTTAGCTTTAAGTAAATCCTAGCTACATCATCAACATACAAACATACATTGGTCTTGTCCATTTAAAAACAACAACAGGGCCAGGCACGGTGGCTTGTAATCCCAGCACTTTGGAAGGCCAAGGCAGGTGGATCATTTGAGGTCAGGAGTTTGAAAACAACCTGGCCAACATGGTGAAACCCCATCTCTACTAAAAATACAAAAATTAACCGGGCATGGTGGTAGGTGCCTGTAATCCCAGCTACTCGGGAGGCTGAGGCAGGAGCATCACTTAAGCCTGGGAGGCAGAGGTGGCAGTGAGCAGAGATCATGCCACTGCACTCCAGCCTGGGTGACAGGGTGAGACTCTGACTCAAAAATAAGTAAATAAATAAATAAATAAATAAATAAATAAATAAATACAAATAACAACAACCCCACATAAAACAGTAATTTGAGTTCAGATCTTTCAGCAGCCAACATTTCATTTCTCTATGTTCTTTCTTTCTAGTTAACAGTTAACTAACTGTTCTTCCTCTCTAGTTAGTCAAAATATTTACTTAACGCCTTTCATTCTCTTTTTTACCTACAAAATTTGTCTTTTCTATTCCACAGAGTAGAAATTAACAGTAACCTCCATGTTGTTAAGCCCAATATTTGCCTCTCTGTCTTCATCTTACATGACATTTAGATGAATTCAACAGTTGACAACCTCTTTTGTTTCCTTGATTTCTGTGATACTACACTTTCTTCATTTTCTCCTACTCAATATTCACAATTACTTAGTCTCCATTTTAGTCTTCCTCTCTCAGTCTCATATATCAACTTCCATAATCGAAAGTTCTACTTAGATGTTTCATAAGCAGCTCAAATTAACCATGTCCAAACTGATCTCTAGAATTCCTCCTAAAGTCTTCTCTATTTCTGAAAATGGCACTAATGTCCATTTGGTGCTCAAGCCCAAATCCTAGGGCTCATTCTTTATTTCTACTCTTTTCTTCTTAGGCTATATCCAACCCATCATAAGTCATGCTGAATGTACCACTAAAATTATTTCCTTAATTGACATATTTCTCTGCATCTCCCCTGATAACCACCTCATACAAGCAGTACTATCTCTCACCCAAACTATGCAGAAGTTCTGCTGCGACTCTCATATCTACACAAGTAATTCTTCTTACAGAAGTCTCAATGCGCTTGATAAAAAATAAGATGATAAAGCCATACAGTTTAATGACTTCCAACAGCTTCCTATTCTTAAAAATAATATCTAAACAATTTGTAATGCCCTGCAGGATCCCACAGGATTTGGGCAATTTCCACCTCTTGGACTTCATCTTTTGTCTTAATAACTCACAGCATTTATGCACGGCGGCATCCTTCCTGCTTCTTGAGCGTGCTTTTGGTCTTCCATGTTCTCTTCCTATGTAATCTTCTTTCTCTCATGTTTTCATGGCTAATTCCTTTTCATCACTCTGATCTCATCTTAAATATTTTCTCCCCAGAGCAGTCTTTCTTCACCACACATTCTAATATTAGCCCTGTTGCCTTTGAACAGGACGTATTAACCTAGTCCCTTTATCATATTAATCTGTTCAACTGGTTCATAATATATATTATTTGAAGACATTCATTTTTGCTTAGTTGTTTTAAAATAAGAATAATAAATGCTATATGGTCTGATTCCTCCGTTAGGTCATGAACTTAATGAGCTTAAGGATCTTGTCTATTTGTTCCTTGCTGTAGGCCAAAGACTAGTATAGTAACTTGTATAGTAGAGGTGTTTAATAAATATTTTTTGAATGACTAGGTGTTTCATTATATACCTACTGTTATAGATTAAGTATGAATTGAAATATAACATGAGCTCTTTTTATAATTTACATTTTAAAGAATTGAGCAACATGAACATATTCCTAATGGGAACATCCATAACGGAAAGAATAGAACTGACAGTCAGAACACACCTAAGTTTAAACTGAGGACCAGCTTGGCTTTTTTCAGTTCCAAGGTAATGTAATCTCCTTGCTGTCCTTCTCCGTGCAGGATTACTCCTTCACTTTCAGACGTCTTAAAGTTCAAGGCAATGACATCTTTCAGTGTTTTCATCTTCTTGTTTCTGAATCTATATGGTAATACAACATGGCCATCAAAGTTGATAACATCAGCCCCTAAAACAAAAAAAAAAATAACATATTAGTTCAGCCATGTATGTTACCATCCACTTCCAACAGGTGTCTGCAAAGAATAAATGAGAATTAAGTAAGTGTTTTTCTTGAGAAATTGACAGTCCTCTGTTTTTCTTCTATTCCTTCTTTTGATTTACTGTGTTTGTTTTAAAGGAGGTTTTATGGAGAGTATTGATAAAAATGCTCATAAAAGCTCTATCAGTTGAACATTTTACTTTAATTACAAAATTAGTAATATAAATTCAATGGGTTATATGCTTCAAATCTTAACTTAGAAATCTAGAGTTTAGACCAAAATCGTAAAATTTTTAAATCTCAAACAGATTATGAGACTTAAATGTTTGATTCCTTAATGATAATTCTTCATGATTTTAAGTATATATTTTATTCAAAAAGTTGTTTTCTTTGATGTAAGAATGAAGGCACTTGGAATGTAATCTTTTATGCTATTCTCTTTTTTTTAAATGGTTTTTATATTTCACCACAATTTTAGTAAACCTTGTTGTAGTATTCAGAGTTTACAACCAATCGAATTTTCAGAAACTTCTTACCATTTATTCTTAGGAAGCAGTGTGTCTCAAATTTCTTATTACCTCCTTGCATTTGGAATGGAGAATTGGGCACCATTGTTTGTTTTTTCACTACATTGGACACAGATATCTTCACTTATCCATATATGAGTTTAAAGAACAAATATCCAGCGTATGACTACAGCAGCTCTAATTTTAGTTTCAGGGGAATAGATTAAAATAAGGAAAGTATGTAAACTTTTTAAAAAATGGGAAATATGATCAGAAATATGTGACTGTGAGGATTCATTTGATAACTACTATTTATTTCACACCAGAAATAAAAATGAGATGATATTATTTATTAGGCACTATTGGTCAATGCATTCTCGATTCATAGAATGATTCAAAATGCAATGTAACCATTCAAATCAAATATTGAGTTCAAATAGAAGCTTCGTTACCATGATCAAATCTTCACTGTTAAAAATCTTTTCAATAGACTATTTCTGTAAGCTTTTCATTTTTAAATCATAGAAAGCCTAGTCAAACGGAACAGCTCTAATAACTTTAGAATTACAAGTCTGGACAAAGCTAGCCTCTAGGTTTTGGGTAAGGTCTGGCTAAAGAACTCCAGAGGGAGACATTGGAGAAAAATAATAGCCAGTTTAAAGCCTGTCAGAGAAATATTTTCTCATTTCATGTCCTAGTTCTCTGGCACTTGTTTACTCCAATCACCACGAGGAACACTTTGGTTTGCCTTGTAAGTGGAGCATACCACCAAATAAATTCCTTTGGGGGCCACAGTAGAGATGCAGGGCTGCCAGAACCACATCCACTCCTTTTTTGTGTTGAGTTTACTTAATTCTATAAAGTGAATTGTTGTGCATACAGTTACTTCGAATAAAATGAAATCTAAGCATGCCTTTCAAATCATTGATGGCTTTCACATACTTTGAAAATATCTATGCTAGTATCTCAAATATTTATGCTTTTAAATAAGTTTGTACAATGTTATATTATAAAACATTCAGAAAAAATATGACCTTAAACTTTAAATTTTAATTCTTATAATCAGCTCTTTATTGCCCATAAAAAGACTTTCTTAATCAACAGAATTCTGTTCTCTGAGACTGTGAATCACAGAGGTTTATTTTAATATGAGGGAAAAAATCAATCGTTTAATTTTGGCTTCTGCTAACACTGCAAAGCCAATTAAACTTCAGCTTAATCCTATATACTGTCACAGCTGAATTTCAATGGCAATATCTTTTTCATGTGCAATGAGAAATAAAGGAGAACGTATAATCCAGCAGTTGATGATACTTTTTATCTTGAAAAGTGAATAAAAGAAAAACAGATGACAGTAAATTCTGAACTCTAGACAGTAGTTTTGCAGTCAATTTCCTATCAGTGACAGTTAAATAATAGACACATCTTGTTTTATACACCTTTAGCATATTTTAATTGACATAAAATATTTCTAATTCATCTTTCAGGAAGTAAACGTTCCCTGAGCTTTTACTCAGGGAACAAGAATCACCTCCTCTATACTTTCTTCTAAATCAAAACACATTTAGTTCTAGGTACAGAGTAATGATTTACGCAAATGTTAATGCATTCCTGTCTTACTTTTAGAGCAATGAGAAAATGTGACAGAAAAGATGAAGATGGCTTATTTTTTTCAGACAATCCTAAGATATTAATAAAAACAGGAAGGACAGCTATTCATGTAGACCAAGTCTCACTTTACAAATGGTAAGTTGTCAGGGTCAGCTGGGAAACAAAATTCTCTGTAACCTAGATTCCCTACAAAGAAAAAGAAAAAGTTTCAACATATTTTCCCACCTATCTATCCATCTATCTAAAACAAAATTTAAAAGTTGTTATTCTATGAATGGGTTAAATGCTTCCAAAATATCAGCACATCCTCTTGTGGATGTAAGCTCAGAGCTGGCTTGAAAATTATAAAATTTCTAGAAGTAATCTATGATATTTACACTTTAACACATACCATGTACTCTTTAAAAAGTCTGGGATATTCTACAACAATGTAAAGAACATCCATCACAGTTTGGCTCTGTTTCCTACAAAAATAGATTAAAATTTCATTTGATATCTAATAATGCGCTGTGCTTATTTGGGGACAAGCCACTTTTTTCTTCTATTATCCTGATTGCTTATCACTCCCTAGAATTAAGTTTTCGATGCGGTGATTAAATATGTATGGTTGAACTGTTTAAGCAATCTGAACAATAATGGCTAGTCAAAAAATGAATGCAAAATCATAGTGTTTCCACAATTTTGTTCCTAACAAAAGCTCAGCAAGCTGGTAATATGCCCAATTCATCAAATCATCATGGTAGAAAACGCTTTTTCAAAAACATTTTATTGTTCCTTAGTCTTCACTTTCTAACTTTGAATAAGATAATTTGAAGAAGTGTTTACCATATAAACATTTTAATATTAAAATTTTAAGTTTATTTGATATTTTAATTTTAAAAGATATCTTTGCTATATATTTTATTACAAACTATGTCTATTGATCAAAAGAAATTAAGCAATACAGAAATATAGAAAGTAGAGAGTGAATCCCAACCACGAAAAATCACCAGTGTTAATGGGTACTTAACTGGTGCATATCCTACATTTTACATATTTACCTAAATATCTATCCAACTATATAAGGTATGGAATAATTCATATATATATATATATATATATATATATATATATATATATATATGAGGGAGGAAGGGAGAAGAATAAAGACAGTGGGAGAGAGAGAGGGAGAATTTCATTTCAGTTAGTCATGGTCCAAAATGTACACTAATAATTTGAGTTTGGGGTGATATAATATTTATAGTACAGGGAAATTGCATGGTTTAATTAAAATTTTTTATTAATCTTAATAAAAGACACTTATAAAAGAATATATAATTTGAAACTGTAGTCTACTTATTTGAAAAAATTAAAAAGTATGTAAATATAGCATATCAACAAATAAATATTCAAGAGTTACTTTTAATACCGTTTCCCCATCAAATGTTTTCAGTTACTTTTATAGGGGATCCGAAAGAAACAAAAAGGTTTAAAGAAAAAAAATTTAAAAGGCATTATTTCATTTTTTACTGAAATAACCAATGATAATATACTATTTGTGATTATTTTAAATTGCATATAAAGAATCTTTACGTATGTACATAGATACACATATGGATAATACTGTATATAGTTTGTGTTTGATTTTTGTTACTGTACATTTTTTAAACCTTATTTCATAATTTTGTTTTCTAAAACAGGATTTTGATTAGCTAAAAATGTACCATTAGTTAAATGTCCAACTTCTTCAATAAAAATTGTGGTGGAAGTTTTGTTTTTATTTTCACAAACTTTTTATTTTGGAAAAATTTTAGATTTAGAGAAAAGCTGAAAAGGTAGTTGGAAAGATAGAATTCTCATATGTTTCACCCAGCTTCCTCTAATATTAACATTTTATATAACCTGGCACATTTGTCAAAATGAAAATACTAACTTAAGTGGCATTCACTCAAATACAGATTATACTTGGACTTCACCAGGGTTTCACTAATACTTTTTTGTTGCTGTTCTAGGATTCAATCCAGGATCTCAGATTGCATTTAGTTATGATGCCTCCCTAGTCACTTCTAATCTGCAACAGTTTCCAATTCTTTCCTTGTCTTTCATAACCTTGACCCTCTAGAAGAGCACCAGCCAGGTGCTTTGTAGAATCTTTCTCAGTTTGGATTTGTCTGACGTTTTCTTAGGACTAGACTGCATTATTGATATTTGGGGAGAATATCACAGAGTTGTGGAATCATATATCTCAAATATATACAATTTTTATTTTTCAATTATATAATAATTCAATAAAGGTAAAAAATTATATAGATTTTTAGAGAAAAAAGGAAACAAAATTAAAGACTTCTTTTATAAAAAATAAACTAATTAAAAACTAGTAAATTTGGAACTTTAAATTTTGTAAAAGCATATATATTTCTCAAATACATATAAAGCATATGAATCTAAAAAAATAGTAAAAATGTATATTAACCAGTTAGTACAGAATCGAATACTATATAGTTTATGCAAATAAATACCAAGTCACTTCAAGAGTTTGAAATACATTTCATTTCTGAAACTGAAGTTTAAAAATACTAGAAGATAGAATTTGCTTATTTTGCAAGTTTCACACACATGCAAATCTGTGTATTATTTTCATTGTCAGATGTCAATATTTTAGATACATTGATCATTCTTTATAAAAAGTGTGACTGCCAACTTTACCTCCTCTCTATTCACGCAGCTTTATTCATTTTTATGGAATTTATCTCTACCTGATACATTGATGTTTGTATATTTACAGCATATCTCCTCTGAGACTTAGTTTTGTTCCATTCTAAAGCCCAGCACTTAAAACAGTGCCTGAAAAACAGTGAATATTTATTAAATATTTGTAGAATGTGTGAATGTTGTCACTCATATTTCTATTAATTGGATTAAGGTATAATAAACACTATTATTTCATACTTCATTAAAAAATTAGAGTCACTAGATTGGAAGAAATTTCAAGAATCTCGCTGACCCATCTTGGTGCTACAACTACAAATATACTTGAGGTTTCAATAGTCAGATGAAAAGACTGGTAACATTAGGTTACTTTTGGGGAGCTGTGGTGGTGGGCAAGAATGTATTCCATTATTTTAAATTGACTCAGTCCTAGAACAGACACAACTCTGGTGGACTCAATCTCATTCCATCTACACATTGCTTTTATCTGAATACTTTCTTCCTCCTAACCCACTGCCTTTCTTTTTTTCAATGTATCTATGATATAAACCTAAACAGATAAAATAATTTCAAAATGTCATTATAGCTAATTTAGAGTAATAGTAGCAAATGAGCCTTCTCCAGATCCTTTAAAAATGATCTA
Organism: Homo sapiens; assembly: GCF_000001405.40. Taxonomy (NCBI): domain Eukaryota; kingdom Metazoa; phylum Chordata; class Mammalia; order Primates; family Hominidae; genus Homo; species Homo sapiens. Next base: position 147,102,665 of record NC_000007.14, on the reverse strand, counting down.
GAGATAGAATCTGAAAATCACTTCTACTTTGGGGAAAATGGAACAAAACAAAAAACCTCAAGGCTCTTCTTTCCTGAAGGCCAGCATCTCACAGTTTGTGCAATATTTCTGCTTAAAATATGTTGCTTTCCCCTTCAGTGCTTGATATTCCCTAGGACAGTGACAACAATATCAAAGGACTCTGATTTCATTTCTGCATACCATTTAGATTCCAATCCAGTAACTTGGAAGGCTGATCCACATGGATATTCCACAGGCACATCTCACTCTACCTGCTCAACATATAATTCTTTCTCTGGGCCCCACTACTTTTATTATATCCATTATCCAGTCACTCAAGCCAGAGATCTGGAACTTTCTTGAGCTTCTTTTTTTTTTTTTTTCTTTTTGCCTACCTACATTTAGCGACTTCCAAGACCTGTGAAATATAGAGCTTTGTGCAGTGGCAGTATCATATAGCCAATGAGTTCATTTGAGGTGCAATGATTGTTAATTGAAATTTGATATTTCAATTTGATATTTCACTTTGATATTTTTAAAACTCATAGTTTACTTTTATATGTACTATCATGAGCCTACCATTACCTCACATGTTGCCTATTGTATTAACATTGTTAAATGACCAATTCTCATCCTTTGGTCTTATTTCTCTTAAATCCAACTGATATGAACAGGAGACAAGAGGGTGGTTCCCCGGCAAAGGCTCCGCCCTCAAGCCCGCAAACCGTGGTGCTAAATGAGAACAGTTATCCTGTTTTCCTGCCCAATTGTTGCTTCTTTCAAAACCACCCTGGCCTGCCGTGCTCCCCATCCTATACTCATAAATCCAAACCCCAGGCTCCATGAACAGACGAGCAGTAGAACAGAAGAGCGGCACAGCAGAGAAGGAGAGAAGAGAGGAAGCGTCTGTACATCAAGAGGGGTTTGGCTGGGGACAGTCAGATAGGAGAATGGCCGTGGGGTGGTTGAACTCCAGGGGAAGATCATCTTCCCACTCCATCTCCTTTCCAGCTCCCCATCCATCCCGCTGAGAGCCACCTCCATCACTCAGTAAAATCCCTGCATTCACCATCCTTCAAGTCCATGTGACCTGATTCTTTCTGAATGCCAGACAAGGACCTGCGTATCAAGAGGACAGGGTATAAAAGGCTGTCACCCTGACTCTCCACTGAACTGGTTAACACTTAACCATCCACAGATGGCAAAGCTAAAAGAGCACTGCAACACCCCTAGACACTGCCGTGGAGCCAGGGCCCAAAAGCGCTCGCTCCAGCTCACCTGCATGCTCCTCCTCCCAAAAGGGGCTTGAGCGAGAAATGGAGCCACACCCTTGTTGCAAGTCCCGTGAAGGGGTCCAGGGAACTCTCCCGTCTTAAAACCATCACACAGAAGCTGGAAAGACCTTTTTGAAATAAACTCTTTCCAAAAAAGATCAAAAGCCAGGTTCTTCAGTGTGGCCTATACCACCCTCAATGATATAGCTCCTGCCTTCCCGTCCAGGCTCATTTTTAGTGCCATCTTTCTTTTTATGTGCTCCTGATGGTAAACGGATTGAATTCCTCGCAAACTTCACATAGCACCTTTCCTCGGGCTATGCTCACTTTCTTCAGTGAGCAGCCATTTTTCTTGTTCTAGTTTACTTTTAGGCATCTTCTAAGCCTCAGATAAGCCTCACCACTAGAAAGCCTGCCTGTGTGAAACAGCCTTGGTCTATTGTCCCCTAGTTCCTTGCATACTTTTATCATTTTACTTCTCACATTATATTGAAGTTATCTTCTTTTGGGCGTGATTTTTCCTGTGGACTTGAAGCTCTTCTAGGATACAGGCTTTGGATTGTTCCGTTTTGGATTCCTGGCAGCATAAACACTTTCTAAACTGATTGAAACATCATTTAGGTTTGAAACAAGGCAAAAGGAGAATTCCACTGTGTTATTATTTCCCCTCTAAACTATGCCTGTGACCGTGCAGTTTACTTTCTAAGAGTACAGATTTATACATGATTTAAGGCTACACAACTCTTACAACTATGAGTGTCTGATATGAATAAATGGTTTAAACATAACATGCTTTTATTATACTTACACTGGAGTTATTTGTTTATAAGTCAAAGGCCAAAACATTGAACTCCTGTATGAGTTTAAATAAAGAATATATAATTTCCTTTGAATTAAATGCATTAATGAGGAACTTGCATATTCCAAGATTAAAGTCACTAAGTTTTAAACACCTTTTAGAGCAGTCATTGTATGCTAATCTGAAATGGTTATTGATTTTCAGAGGCAAGATCAATTGACTCCTACATATTTTAATTTTTGACTTACTCCATAAAAAATGTATATATGATAAACCATAAATGGCTAATCATCTGGTTGGCCCAATGAATCACAAAAAACAGACACAGGAAAATATTAGTAACTTTTTAAAGTTATAGCATTAGATATCACATTATTCAACGTGAAGAGACAAAAAAGCCCACTGAGGTACCCTATGCCTCCCAAAATGGACATTCACACACACATACACCCCCCATACACATACACACAAACACATGCACACACCTATATTCTGTCCTCGCTCTCATCCACTCATTACCCACAAGATATCAGAAAATCAGAGTGATCTATTTCTAAGCAGGGTTATAACTCTCATATATCCAATAATGCAGAAATAATAACAATTTCTGAAAATTAGCATATAATCTATTTGTAGGAAATCCATGTGGAAGCTGTTTTTATTTATTTTTGTAAATCAAAAAGTCAAATAAATTAGACTCGCCTTCTCGCCTTCGCTGTTTACTGAAAATAGCTCTACAACTTTTGACCACACAAAATCTAGTTTTTTTGCTGGCGAAAAGACTATCTAGAATTATAAATCCTAAGTAAATGCTACACAGATGAGGAAAGAAACCAGACATCAAGAAACTCCTCAGAATGTCTTTTGATTTAAATTATTCCCAACATTTATTTCGGAATTTTTAAAATCTCTATTCAGTTCACCTTCTAATTCCATTTAAAATATCATTGTCAGTGTTCTGTCCAAATTTTGATACTATATAAAGATAGCAGTTTAGTTACAAATAGTGATAAGCAACTTGTTTTTAGGCACTCTTTTCATAGTAATTTATATAATATTGAGGAAAAAATCAATTATCCCTATGAGTAAACGGAGGCTGGTAGCTGTGGAGGGTGGGAGCAGGGGTAATGGCAGCCACCTGTGTCATTTCTTGGAGCTGCCATGGCTTCAACTTCCCCTCTATCCTGACCATGTATTTTAATCTCTGTGCTCCAATGCTTTGACATCTGGGGCCTTGCTGACCCTAGAGGGACTGGTCTTCCCAGAGTTAGCCAATTTCTAGAGATGGTAAGCACACTTTCCAAATATAAAGCAATCAATCCAGAGTCCACACCCCAACTGCTTCCTTTATCCAGCTTTCTCTCTTCTGGACCATGATCCGTCTTCCCTATTCATCCCAGAATCAGGTACAAGACAACTAGGATCAGCCTCTGTGCCCCAGAACTCACTGGAATAATTATTCCAGTTAGCCAGACCTAAGCCTGCTTACCCTGCTGCACCTATCCCTTCCCATGGAAACTACAATAAAGGACCTTGCCCACAGTTCCCTCATCCCCTCTACCTCCTGACAGATCCTGGTGCTTCCCTGAGCTCCCTACCTCTGGTCTACACCCTGTGGGATGGCCTGCCACAGTAATAAAAGTAATAAAGTAAATAAATGTCATGTATTTTAATAAAGTAATAATTGTATTTATATAAAATAAAATAACTTCAATGCTCAGAGAAGACAAGCAGTTTATACAAATGTGTGATGCTGGCTGGTTATAAATATCGTATCAATAATATAAAGTATTAATAAAGTAATAAAATATTAGTATCTTTTCACGGTAGGTGTTTTCTGATATGTTGGCCTTACTGTGTCTCAAATTTTCTACTAATAAACTATATTAGAAAACACTCAGTACAGAAAATTATTTTACCATATCTTAGAAAAGAAGTGAAAAATCAGTTTTGATCAAACAAAAGCCTAGGAATTGTTGGCAAAAGTTAGTCCATAGACCTGCAAAAAGCTCCTTTAAAGCAAATTTTAGAAACCATTATTAAATGTCTAAGATCAACTTCTGGACTCTGAAGTATCTTCTACATCCATAACATTGTGTCAAGACTGGGGTTGTGGAAGTAATGGGGTGAGTTAAAAAACAAACAAAAAACAATACAGGAACTTTCCAGTGAAAAGAGAATTAAGACTGAGTAAGATAAATTCAGACAGATAGGGGAATAGCACATTCGACTGTTCTAAAAACGCTCAGTTGTTTGTGACTTTACTACATAAGGCTTACAATTCATGTGCAGGGTGAGAATTGGAAGATTAAAGACTTAATGCTCCCTGAGGAAGCTGAGGGCCCATGTGTGTAATGATGGTATTCTAAGTGGAAAATGCATGTCCAGGTTTGCATTGGAAAGATAACTCCTGTGCTAGTGAGGGAGAGGAGAAAGGGCGTGGAAAGGGCCCAGAAACAGAGAGAACAAAGACCCAGCCTCAAACGAGCTGATGTTCTTACAGTGTTGGCAACAGTTACGCAAAGCCAGAATTCAGAAGATACCTATGTCATTAAAGGATGCAAAGCATTCAGATGATGCATTATCACTACACAGAATTTCAAAGCAGTTAGGGATTTTATACTAACTGAAGAATTTCAGATCAAAATTTACAGTTGTGGCTGACTCCAGGTGTATGATAAATCCAATATTACAAAGCCTCAGAATTTAAAATGAAATTGACAGTACCCTGAAAACAAAAACAAAATGTCAAAAATTCCTCTTTGAAACACGCTACATATTCGAATTCATTTTCCCACCATCTTAATTTTTACACAGAATCTTAGTTTGTTACTTCTTTAGCTATCCAAAATTTCTATGCGCTATCCTTTTCAAATTCATCTGATATGCTTTGTCTCTGTTTCTCCACCCAAATCTCATCTTGAATTGTACTCCCATAATTCCCACGTGTTGTGGGAGGGATCTGGTGGGAGATAACTGAATCATAGGGACCGTTTCCCTCATACTGTTCTAGTGGGAGTGAATAAGTCTCACAACGTCTGATGGTTTGATAAAGGGAAACCCGTTTCTCTTGGCTCTCATTCTTTCTCTTGCTGCCGCCATGTTCAAGGTCCCCTCCACCTTCCGCCATGATGGTGAGGCCTCCCTAGCCATGAGGAATTGTAAGTCCATTAAACCTCTTTCTTTTGTAAAGTGCCCAGTGTTGGGTACATCTTTATCAGCAGCATGAAAACCAACTAATACATCATCCATCCATCCATACAACTATTCATCCACACATATGTACATGAACAAACACCATTACTTTAAACTTGTAAAATCATTAATGTTCTGAACGCTATACATCCATCAACAACCCCTACAAATTTGTCAGGACGAGTAGCAATATGTAATAGGTGATTAGGAAAAAATGTCATTTTTATTTATTTTACTTTCTGTGCTTTCCTGAAAGCTAAATTAGTTGGTACAAATGATTTTCTCTTATTTGTGAGAGATTGGGACATATGTGTGCAGTATCTTTTGAGGTTATGCATATGGTGCAATATATTACAACAATTCTGTAATTTTGGTTTGATTTCACATACCTTTGGGTGAAAATTTTACCTCAACCATAAAATAGGCTTAGTAAAGCTCAAAAGGTACACATGTTGTGAGATAATGTTCTCTTTCCTCTTTGCTAGAGCAGTTAGGTCCTGTCTGGTAAAACACTAAAAACAGTACTCTGTGGTCTGCTCGTGAACACACCTCAGTGATTTGGGCATTGGAGGGAATCTGATTCACTGTGAACTTGGGTGCTGTCCATTACTTCATGACACCTGCACACTCACTGGGGCCATGAAGAAGAGGTTGAATTAATTTATTTTCATAAATGAGCAGTACTTACACAACTTGTGGCGAGAACCAGTCCTGACAGAGATAAAATGATTTGTAGCTTCTAAAATTAGAAGTCACAACTTCAATGCTCAGAGAAGACAAGCAGTTTATACAAATGTGTGATGCTGGCTGGTTATAAATATCATGTCGTTCTATTGATCTTTTACTTTCTTACTTTTGATAGCAATATGACCAAGAGAGACATATTTCCCTGATTAGAAAATCAACCAAAAAGAGATTCTAATGAAGAGATTAAAAGCTCAGCCATGATGGCAGAGGATTCATGCAGTGTTTGGGATATGTTGTGGATAAAAGGGGCTGTCCCTATTCACATGGAGGTAACTTATGATATGCAGGAATGCTGGTGTTATTCAAACAATACATTTTCAAGGAAGCCCAGAAATTCAAATTTTTAATTAAATTACTCCAATTTAAATGTTCACCAGTTGATTTGGAGTTGTATTATGCAGAGGCTGCTAGCTACTGGCCCACATTTATGTCTTCTTGGCCACATAGTTCTTTAAGCTGTCAAATACAAGACTTCATGGATCATAGTAAATCTGAAACAATTAGTCTGCTAATAATTACACCCTAATTTTCCTGTGAATAACCAGTATGTATCTGCCTGTGTTTTTATTTTTCAAAAGGTAAATTCTGTAGGAAACAACATGATTAATGCTAAATCAATAGAGAGAGCATGGTTAAGAAAAAACAAATGTTAATGTAAATAAAAGAAAAAGGTGCATTTACTACTTTTACGAGGGGTCCAAAAGGCTCATCTGTCAGGACCCATATGAAGGGAGAAGCTGCCTGTCGTTTTGTTGTTGCTGCTGCTAAAGGGAAGGGTGGGCTTCATAGGAACAAGAACCTCCACATTTGAGATAAAAGATAATTATTTAATTAATAATAGCTCATCAAGTGTTGTTAATAACAACTAAGCAAACCAGGATCCAGTTTTAGGAAGATGTACTGAAATAAAATGGAAATTGTTTTTCTGCCTCGTTTCTGTAGCTTGGTAAGGTATATGATTATAAAATGAAGGTAGAAACAAAAATCAATATTGTAGTGATGTCAGATTCAAAAGAAAAAAAGAAAGAAGCAAGAAAAACAATGAAAGACAATGAAACAACATACATCTGAAACTTATTCACTGAGATTTGAAATAGAACTTACTAAAAAGAAAATATATATATATACATATATAAATTTTACAAATATTTTATTAACTGCTATGTTCTGAATGTTTGTGTCCTCCCAAAATTCCTATGTTAAAACCTTATTCTTAATGTTACAGTGTTAGGAGTTGGGGCCTTTAGATGTGATTAGGTTATGATGGTGAAGTCCTCATGAATGAAATTAGTTCTCTCATAAAAGCTGCCCCAGAGGCTGGGTGCGGTGGCTCACGCCTGAAATCCCAGCACTTTGGGAGGCCGAGGTGGGAGGATCATTTCAGGTAAAGAGTTCGAGACCAGCCTGACCAACATGGTGAAACCCCATCTGTACTGAAAATACAAAAAAAAAAAAAAAAAAAAATTAGCCAGGCGTGGTGGTGCATGCCTATAGTCCCAGCTACTCGGGAGGCTCAGGCAGGAGAATCGCTTGAACCCGGTAGACGAAGGTTGCAGTGAGCCGAGACTGCGCCATTGCACTCCAGCCTGGGTGACAGAGCAAGACTCTGTCTCTAAAAACAAAAACAAAAAAAATAAAGTTGCCCCAGAAAGATGCGTTGCCCTTGCACACAGCAAGAAGGCATCATCTAAGAACCAGAAAGTGGACCCTCATCAGATACCAAATCTCTTGGTACCTAGATTTTGGACTTCTCAGACATTAGAACTTGCAAAATTAGATTTCTGTTATTTATAAGCTATCTAGTTTATATTATTCTGTTATAGCAGGCCAAACAGACTAAGACAGAAAATTGCTACTCAAGTAGAGTCCTGCTGCAGCAAATACTAAAAACGTAGGAACATTTTTGGAGCATGGCCATGGGCAGAGGCTGGAAGGCTTACAAAGTTCATGCTTTAAAAAAATAATAATAATAATCCCAGCACTTTCGGAGGCCGAGACAGGCGGATCACGAGGTCAGGAGATAGAGATCATACTGGCTAACACAGTGAAACCCCGTCTCTACTAAAAATACAAAAAAAAAAAATAGCCAGGCGTGGTGGCGGACGCCTGTAGTCCCAGCTACGCGGGAGGCTGAGGCAGGAGAATGGCGTGAACCCAGGAGGCGGAGCTTGCAGTGAGCCGAGATCGCGGCACCGCACTCCAGCCTGGGTGACAGCAAGACTCCTTCTCCAAAAGAAAAAAAAAAAAAAAAGGAATAATAATAATAAAAGGCTACATTATTCTGAATGGACCTTTAAGGGTAATTCTGGTGAGGACTTAAGAAGAAAAGAGGAGAGCTGTAGAAAGAACCTCAATCTTCTTAAGGTATACCTAAGTGGCCGTGAACAGAATGTTGATAGAAATTTGGGTGATAAAGGCCATTCCGATGAGGTCTCAGACAGAAATGAGGATGCCCTGGGAAGTTGCAGAACTCAGGAAGAGATCTGTTGCTCTGCAAGATCTCCACAGAGTCCCTTCTAGGGCAATGTATAGAGGTGCCATGGGGTTGCGGCTGCCCCAAGTTTTGCCGCCATCAAAACCGGTAGAAGCCACCAGTGTGTGATTCTAGCATGAAAGAGCCGTGAGCTGGTGACCCAGGCACAGAGCCACCATGGAGGTGGGGCTACTGCAGAGAACCATCTAGGTGGCAGGATATTCGGGGCTTGGGACTTTAAATTGGGACCTGTTACCTTTTTCTTCTTTCCTATTTTTTTTCCTTTTAAAGTGATAATGTCTATTCTATGTGTGTCCCACATTGTATTTTCGAAGTACACAACTTGTTTGATTTCACAAGTTCACAGCAGGAGAGCAGTTTGCCCTGGATGAATCACACCTTGAGTCTCACCCACATCTGATTTAGATGTTATTTAGATGAGACTTTGGAGTTAGAATTTAAAATTGATGTTGAAATGAATTAAGACTGTTGGGGCTATTGAGATGGAATAAACGCATTTTGTGTGTGAGAATTGTGTGAATTTTGGGGTTTTGGGGCAGAACGCTACGGTATGAGTGTTTGTGTCCTCTCAAAAACTGTAGTGACCAGAGGCTCACTGAAACCTAAACCTATACTTCCCCTAGGAGAAATAATTCAGTATTCGCTAAATCAGTGTTCCTGGCAACTTTATAGCACATAATTACTATCAATAATGAAGACTGCTTGTGTTTACGTTGCATTTATTTACCTTTACACAAGAAAGTAGAGAACCATTTCAAACTACCACATATATGTCAGCAGAATATAATAAATATTTAATTTAATCTTGAGGCAAATGATTAACAAACAGCAAATCTCTTCAAAAATAAGTATAATGCTGCATTGTATCATCTGACATACGTACACCTTTTCTTTTTCTTTTTTTTTTTTTTTTTTTGAGATGGAGTCTCGCTCTTTCGCCCAGGCTGGAGTGCAGTGGTGCGATCTCAGCTCACTGCAAGCTCCGCCTCCCGAGTTCACGCCATTCTCCTGCCTCAGCCTCCTGAGTAGCTGGGACTACAGGCATCCGCCACCACGCCCGGCTAATATATATATATATATATATGTATTTGTATTTTTAGTAGAGACAGGGTTTCACCGTGTTAGCCAGGATGGTCTCGATCTCCTGACGTCGTGATCCGCCTGCCTCGGCCTCCCAAAGTGCTGGGATTACAGGCGTGAGCCACCGCGCCCGGCCATACCCCTTTTCCTTCCACAGCATGGACGTGCCATTTAGTACATGCAACTTACAAGTAGAACATACAAAGGCCAATCACTCATTCCTGACATGCTTGCTGCAACTAAACACTGTGGTTTATATACCTAATTATTAAAATTCACTAACCACTATATCAACAATAAGTTTAGTTTTTGTAGTACAGAGGTATGTAGAATCTGAGATTCCTAAAGAATCACAGAATCCAAATCACATTTTTCAATTTACATTCCCTCTATGGTGAAGCTCAGAATTTTTTAAAGCTATTTGATGATTGCCTACTTTTCCTGACTTTGTAGAAAATATTCTGCTTAAAAATTGCAACATAAAAACAAATATTTTATTGAGTCTACTAGAATAGGAACATTAATCTCTCTTCTCTCTAAACCCTAAATTACTTTAAAGCTATAAATAAGCTTGAAGTTGACTTCTTATACTATAAGAATTTTAGATATTATTTTGTACAATTTATAGCTTGAATTTCTCTTTCTAACATAAATTCAGGGTTTCTCTTGAAAAGATCTGGCATTTTCTTTTGAATAAAGGCCTGAGATATTGGAAATATTAGAAACCTATTGCAAAGTTGCAGAATTCTGTAGCTTCAAGAAGGAAATTATTTTGAATTCAGAAAATATAAGGACAGATATATCACAAATCCAGTTAATTTTAGAAAAACATTTTTGAGGGGGTCATTGGGAAAGGAACTGAACTTGGAAACAGGATACATTTGATACAGTGCCTACACATCTGTGTTTCAACTTCCTGCATTTTTACAGCTTAGGTCAATCTTAACAATTTATGCATTTCCCAAGGCATGACAGATATAGTGCTGTTACAAGTGCTATTTATAGTAGGGTGGTTAAGTCCTTAAAATGACAATGGTTGGCCAGGAGTGGTGGCTCACGCCTCTAGTCCCAGCACTTTGGGAGGTGGAGGTGGGCAGATCACGAGGTCAGGAGATCGACACCATCCTGACTGACATGGTGAAACCCCGTCTCTATTAAAAATACAAAAAATGGCCTGGCGCGGTGGCTCACGCCTGTAATCCCAGCACTTTGGGAGGCCCAGACAGGTGGATCACGAGGTCAGGAGATCGAGATCATCCTGGCTAACATGGTGAAATTCCGTCTCTACTAAAAATACAAAAAAAATAGCCGGGCATGATGGAGGGGACCTGTAGTCCCAGCTACCCGGGACGCTGAGGCAGGAGAATGGCTTCAACCTGGGAGGCGGAGCTTGCAGTGAGCCGAGATCGCACCACTGCACTCCAGCCTGGGCAACAGAGCAAGAAAAAAAAAAAAAAATTAGCTGGGTGTGGTGGTGCGCACCTGTAGTCCCAGCTACTAGGGAAGCTGAGGCAAGAGAATCTTTTGAACCCCGTAGGCGGAGGTTGCAGTGAGCCGAGATCGTGCCACTGCACTCCAGCCTGGTGATAGAGCGAGACTCTTGTCTCAAAAAAAGAAAAAAGAAAAAAGTATATGGTTGAGTTTCTTTAATATAAACTTAGAATCATAGCACATGCCTTCATTCCAAGGGTTGGCACGACAAAGAGCATGCTGAGGCAGAGCATTTTTCAGAAAATTAAAGTGATGCCAGCTTTCTCATGACCGAAGAAATACGTAGTTGAGTCAATAGCATCATGACCATCCCATCAGGATACAGAAGAGCATTGGCTCTGAGCCCAGAGATCAGGATCTAGGCTTGGTTTATTTGCCCATGAGGAAACCGATTCACTTTCTGGGTCTGTTTAAGGAAAGAAGGAAGGGGACGAGGAATCTAAGAGACTCCATGATCATCCGATGGGGCGTTCATGATGCTATTGATTCAACTACATACTTCTTGGGTCATGAGAAAGCTGACATCACTTTAATTTTCTCCCTTCAACTACAGAAATTAAGCATCTCTTATTCTGATTGACTTGCCCAAGCTTAATTTTTCATTTATTTTTAATTTTGAATTTTAAGTTAGATCCTAAATGGAAGAATTCAGGATTTTAGAGAACATTTCTTGATTATTTTAGCACATTATGAATTGGACTATTTCAAATGCAATTTTAAAACATAAAATCCACAGACATTGAAACGCTTTCACGGGTGACTGGACAATCACTTAAAATTTATGTAAGAAAAGTATCAAAATTAGCCAATTGCAGCAAAAATATTACATCCTAAAAACCACATATAATTGTCAATATTGTTAATTTTTACAAAGAATAATTATATCAATTGTTTTAATAAACAATTGGAAGGTGTTAGAAGTAAAATCTAACACAACAATTTATAATTATTACTTATATTCTTAGTTGCTTGATAATGCTAAAAGAGATACACATTTCTGAAGATTAAATTATTTTAATTCTAGAACATTAAAAAAGTATCTGAATAAATTAAGAAAAATATTCATGGCTGCAGTTACCTGGGACCAGTAAGAATAAATGTATGACCTTGAGCAAGTGTAAAATAAAAGATTTAATCCCATTCAGGTAAAACATGTCATATTTCCCTCTCTTTTTGCTAATATTTAGCCTAGCACAACAGTACAGCCCTTGTTGTAAATACCAGAGAATTGTAACACACACACACACACACACACACACACACGCTTATATGTTCTATATCAGTCTTCTTTACTAAATCAAGATCTGGTTCACAGTAGCTGGAGTGGCAACATATTAAGTATTTGTCTAATTGATTTGAAATAATGACTATTCTAATCCACCCACTTAGCAACATTGACTCATGCCTGGAAGGAGAACAGGGCCATATTTTTACCATAACATGCATGAATGGATTTAGGACAAATTGGGCGTCTTGCTTGGTGACTATGGGACCCTCCCTTACTGTTCTGTATTTGTGCTGACTTCCCTGAGGTAGCTGGTTTATTTTCTCCCCAGTGAGGAAGAGAGCAAACTGTAGAGACATAAAGTGAAAGCTGAAAAAATACATAATTCAGTCTACTCTGCTTCCACTGCTTTCTGTACTGAAGAACATTTCAGAGAAACAAGTATTTTGGAGGCTTCTGGCACTGCCCCCTCACTAGGCCCTGAGACACCTTTGGTGCAGAGTGAGGACGGGTGCTTATATGAACACCTTCAAGTCCATCATCTGTAATTCTGTCCACATCAGCATAATATAAGCCAGAATTTCTTTATAGCTTATGAATTTGCCACCCAGAAAACAACTAATATTTATTGAATATAGGAATTCAGTGTCATAACACCTGGTTGGCTGTATGTATTCAATGTAAACTTTGGTTTCTATAACTTTCAAACTACCAAACTTAGTTAACTCCTACCCAAGGCCTAGATTTATAACAAAGACTTATTTCCAATTTTTGTATTTCATGACTAAAGTTGATGAGACTCTGGAGTTCAAAATGAAGAAAATGTCTCAATTACTAAACCACAATGCTGTGGTTAAGAATAAATTAGCTAAATCAAGTAAAAATAAAGGAAAAAGTGTAAAATTTTAGACATATGTGAGAAAAACAAGACAAGAATGTTTTTCCAAGTGGCTCTGTGTGAGTCGCAGTGGATGCTATTTATAAAGGTTTTATACATAGCATGAGAAGCCTTGCAAAGAGACCATTTATAGACATTGACAAACAGAGAAGTGCAATGCTAGGGATTATGGAGACAATGAAGTGGGAGGGCCAGGACTCCGATCACTTGAAACTTCTCAAGTGGAACTGCTACAAGATGTTGAAAAGGTGGGATGCATACACGGAACATACAGATAATTCTCTCTGCAGGGGCAACAGCTGGGGTAATGTAGCTCCCATGTGACAGTGGTAGAAAACAAATTCCTTGTCAGCCATTCATCTAACCCATCTTGGGCGGACAGCCAGGATCCTAACAAATTGCTGGGAGAAGCAGTCTTGCTTTTCTTTCTCTTTCTCTTTCTCTTTCTCTCTTTCTCTCTCTATCTCTCTGTCTCTCTTTCTCTCTTTCTCTTTCTTTCTTCTTTCATTTATTTATTTGGAGACAGCATCTTGCTCTGTCACCCAGGCTGGATTGAAGTGGTATGATCACAGCCCACTGCAGCCTTGAACTCCGGGGCTCAAGCAATCTTCCTGCCTCAGCCTCCTGAGTAGCTAGGATTACAGGGAGGCACCACCATGTCCAGCTAATTTTTGTATTTTTGTGTAGAGATGGGGTCTCTCTATGTTGCAGGCTGATCTTGAACTCGTAGGCTCAAGCCATTTTCCTGCCTTGGCCTTCCAAAGTGTTGGAATTACAGGTGGGAACTGCACCCAGCTTCAGCCTTGATTTTGAAAACAAGTAGAAGACCTGACACGGCCCTTCAGGGCTCAATCACCAGCCCTTTAGTTACATACTGCTTCATAATATGACATAATATTTTAGAATCTGATTTAGTTTATGACTGACTACTATGTATTTTGTCACTTGAATTGTCTTGTAAATAATATAGTTTTAAGATTTAGAAACTGGCTTTAAACCTTAAAATTTAAACTGATTGTAACCTCAAAATTTAAGGTTAGAAAAGGAGCTTTGCAACTTTAAAACATCTATTTTTTGTTCTTTTCTAATTTCTAGTTTTCCAATTTCCAAACTCCTGGATTTGACAGCTACCACAGAAAAGCTCCAATATTTATGTTAGAAATATTTTCTTTTTCTATTAAAGGGTCATTATTCCATAGTGATCCTTTTCTTTATTTTTAGTGATCCAAGTGAGATTTATTTCTCCAAAATTTGAAAGAGTTAGATGATTTGATAAATCATTCCCTCTTGAAATTTAGAAAGGTTTTGAAATGTGAATTAGGAAAATGAAAGTTAGAGTCCTGAGGTTAGCGAGATTGATTAGTGGAAGCTGCAAGCAAGAATTTCCACGTTAAGGCCTAAACTGTGTTTTAAACAGTTCTGTTGCACTACAGGCAAAAGATGACCATGTCTGCTTGATGGCTGTTTTTTTTGTTTTTTTGTTTTTGAGGTGGAGTCTGGCTGTGTTGCCTAGGCTGGAGTGCAGTGGCACAATCTCGGCCTACTGCAACCTCTACCTCCCGGGTTCAAGGGGATCTCCTGCCTCAGCCTCCCAAGTAGCTGGGACTACAGGTGTGCGCCACCATGCCCAGCTAATTTTTGTATTTTTTAGTAGAGATGGGGTTTCACCATGTTGTCCAGGCTGGTTTCAAACTCTGACCTCATATGATCCACCTACCTTGGCCTCCCAAAGTGCTGGGATTACAGGCATGAGCCACCATGCCCGGCCTTGATTATTTTTCTTATAAATAAAGTAGAAGCAACCATTGTTAGGAGCTCCCCCACTTTGGGTGGAAATGATTTTGCCAAGAATGAAAATAAAATGCTGTTTCTGTAGTATCCATTTTACAGCAAATTCTATTAAAAAGTGAAATAGAAAATGTCATTAGACAAGAGCCAATATTTATAGGGCCAAATAGCCATGCAAGTGAGGTACAAACAATGACTTTTAAATATGTTGCATAGAGAAATTCACCACTTTCGCTACACACAAATGTTTTTAATGCACTTACACACATCTTTGCTAGGGATGACCACTGGTTAAAAAAAACAGAACAAAGAAAATTCATGTGTCTCTTCGGTGTCCTCTTTTTTCAGTGATTTTCCACTCCCCACTCTGCCACTCAATATCCTTTTGTTAAGAGACACATTGCAAAGAATCTGATAACATAATCCACAATGAGATACTGTATCTAATGATACTTAACGTTTCTAAGACAATAATGGGAACAATACTTAACTCAAAGGGAAATAAATGCTGCAGAGGGAACTTGAGGCCCCAGAGAACGGTTAATAAAAAGACAGCTTGAATGGAAAGAGAGGTCCTCCAGTCACTGAAGGTCCACCATGTAGATAATAACCAGACACACTGGTGAAGTGTGCAAATTTCAGATACAGTTACACTTACCAGTGTCTATTTTCCTACAAACCACAACATTCTCTCTAAGCACAATAGAGGCAAGCATAAAACTTTTCTAAGTATCAGGGAGTAACAGGTGTAAAACTTAACTTGAATTCGTTGAAGCTCTGTACTAGACTTTTCTGAAGTTTCATCTTGTTTTGCTTTGACAATAATTATACCATACTAAAGATTTAAAATTGCTGTTTCCCAGACATTATTTGATATAGTTAGAGAAAGTGCTACATGTTACATGAGGAAGGGGGTCTAAGATTATGTATCTTCTGTATGGCCAGACTAGGTGGTCATGCTTATAATTCCAGCGATTTGGGAGGCTGGGGTGGAGAATCGCTGGAGCCCAGGAGTTTGAGCCAGCCTGGGCAACATAGAGAGACCCTGTCTCCACAGAAATAATTTAAAAAATATTAGCTACATATGGTGGTGCATGCCTGTTTTCAGCTACTTAGGAGGCTGAGGTGGGATTACTGACTGAGCCAGGAAACTGAGGCTGCCATGAGCCATGATCATGCCATTGCACTCCATTCTGGGTGATAGAGAGAAATCTGTCTCAAAAAAGTAATTTAAAAAAATTAAAAATAAAAATAAATTTTATGAAAAGAAAAAGAAAGAGAAACATATTTTCTGTGGATGTATCAAAAAGAGCATAGATAAAAATTTTAAATGTTGCTATTTTTATACTTTTGCTTCTCTGTATCTATTTTCTTCTTTGTTTCATATTTTTGTTTATTTTCTGTAAACTCATTTATTCTTCAAACCTCTCCTCTTTCAAAACTCATTGAGCCCAGAGATATCCCTTTCTTTCCTATTTAAATATGATTTTGTATTTTCACTACGTTCACATTAAAATGCTCCTTTAAAAATATTCATATTAAAATTTCCTTAGAGTTTATGCCATTGATTAGTATTCAGGTTGAAAACACTAATGAAGTTCTCTTGGAAGCTGCGGTAGGAAACTGCTTTTGGTGACATGCCCCACTGGGTTTTTCTACCATTTCAAGTTGTGCTTCAATGAGGCTCCAAGGTTTAAAGAAAAATTTATTTGGAAAAACACGACGCTACTCTTTGACTTACAGAGCTTTCGTGTGCGTGTCTTAGCTACATAATTTCTACAGGAACACACAGGACATTTGGGTTGCAGATGCAAATGATATGTTTATTGCTATCAATCATTTGTATCACCAGATCACTGGACCAGAGGACAACTTGTAAAAGGATTTCAGAATGGCATAATGGGAAGAAACACGCTAATAAAACGATGAGACATGAAGAGAATTTAAAAATATACAATGATCAGCTGTGAAGAATTGGCCAGGTAACACACAGTAAAATGTTTACACTTACAGAATAAGTCTGTATGTTTTTAGCTCTTAAAACCAGAGGTGTATGGTTCTAGGAGAGATATCACCTATGGCAGCGATCTCCAACCTTTCTGGCACCAGGGCCAGTGTTTTGGGAGACAATTTTTCCACGGACAGGTTGGGCTTGGGGGTGGGTTTTGGGATGAAGTTGTTCCACTTCAGATCATCAGGCACTAGATTCTCATGAGTGTTCATCCTAGATCCCTTGCATGTGCAGTTCACAGTAGGGTTAGTGCTCCTATGAGAATCTAATGCGGGCACTCATCTGACAGGAGGCAGAGCTCAGGTGGGAACATTCGCTTGCCCACTGGGCACCTTCTGATGCTGTGGCCGGGTTCCTAACAAGCCATGGACCAGTATAGGTCCGTGGCCTGGAGGCTGGGAACCCCTGACCTACAGTACAGTTTTCCCAGCCCAGGCAAAAGGGATACATACAAAGATAACAATACTAGGAGATGGAGAACAAAGTCATTAAAGATGCTATAATTTTCATCACACTTTTCTTAAGAAAATTATTTGTTTTTCTCAAACCAAAAGACATCAGCTTTGATTGGTTTATTAATAAACAACAAAAAATGCTTTTCTAACTTGGAGAAAAAATGCTTTTCTCAACTTTGAGAAAAAAATAAGCCTGATTTTATAAGTACTCAAACCTCTCAGAGTTAGTGGGTAGCAAAGGATTTCATTATAAATATTTCATCAATGTAAACTTGAGATATTAAATGATATGACTAAAGTTTGACTAGCTCACAACCTCATGCTACATATATATACACACACAAACACTATATGTGTGTGCCTATACATAGCATATATATAAATTATATATAATAAAATACATAAAATTATATGTATTACATCATCATGTTACATATTATATATCATATATCACATATTATATACATTATATATAATTATCATACAGCATTATATATTATATATGCATTATGTATACATATAGCATGCTTATATATGCTATATATTATATAGTATATGGTATAACGTATACATGTATATACATATATACATATAGCATGCTTATATAGCATTATATATGCTATATGTACATATGTATATACATGTATATATTATTATATTATTATATATTATATATAGTATTATATGTATATACAATATAGAGCATTTATAAGCATGCTATGTGCATATATGTGTATATACATATATAGCATTATGCATATATGTATTATATATACATATATAGCATTATGCATATATGTATTATATATACATATATAGCATTATGCATATATTATATATACATATATAGCATTATGCATATATTATATATACATATATAGCATTATGCATATATGGATTATATATACATATATAGCATTATGCATATATGTATTATATATACATATATAGCATTATGCATATATGTATTATATATACATATATAGCATTATGCATATATGTATTATATATACATATATAGCATTATGCATATATGTATTATATATACATATATAGCATTATGCATATATGTATTATATATACATATATAGCATTATGCATATATGTATTATATATACATATATAGCATTATGCATATATGTATTATATATACATATATAGCATTATGCATATATGTATTATATATACATATATAGCATTATGTATATATGTATTATATATACATATATGTGTATACACATATATAATGCTATATATAATGCTATATAATATATACATACATGTGTATATGTATATATGCATATAATATATACATACATGTGTATATGTATATAATATGTACATACATGTGTATATGTATATAATATGTACATACATGTGTATATGTATATAATATGTACATACATGTGTATATGTATATATAATATATACATATATGTGTATACACATATATAATCCTATATATAGCATATATGTATATACACATGCTATATAAATATATAATACATTATATATCTATGTATCATATATAATATGTATTATATATGTATATATAGCATTATAGATATATACACACATACAGATATATTTTTTATATATAGCATTATAGACGTGTGTGTGTATATATATATACATATATATGTGTATATATATATATACATATATATATATGTATATATATATATAAAATGATGTTTACTTTTAACCTGAAAACGAGTTAGTCTTTTGAGGATGAGAAATCATTTGTACAATTTTAAATTTAATGTACACATTACAATATACATTTAGTAGAGGTGAGCGACATTATTGCCTACTTCTCCAAATCACTAGAAGCAAAATACAGTGTTCCCCATATTCCAAACGTTAGTTTGTCATTAATACTTTTGAAGGCTCTCGAAACTACGTTATGAACTGTAGCAGACAGTGTTTGCCGACCTAACATCCATTTCCTCTTTGTTGCTTTTGGTGGTGTTACTGTTGACCTCAGACAAGCCTTGATTTTACTCATTGGGTGTCCAGTGTCCATCCAGTCCTCATATAATTCAAGGGAAGCGACTCTCTTTTCTCTGCAAGGGAGCCAGTCCTGAACTATCCAAGTCAACCGAGGCAATCCCATTTCCTTGCCGCTACTTGGATGAAACATGGGGATGTGACTCAGCTACAGCGAGAGAGGATGAGAGGCGTGCTGAGAACACCTTTGGGAAGGCCGCCGATTCCTGAGAAGAACATGGCGGCAGAGCAGATGGCCTCACCCTGCCTCTGGAAATTGCAGTGTGTGTCTGTGAGAACTGAAAGGGTGTGGCCATCTTGACCCCAAGATGGGAGCCAGGCTCAGGACACGCAGTGATGCCGGAATGGCTCCCAAATGGCTCCCAAAGCATCAGGTCAGTGGGTCAACTAATTCCTGAGATCTGTTCCACCCTGACACTTCCATCATATAGGAAACTGAATTTCCTTGCTTTTTGAATCAGTTTGAGTCAGATCAGAATTTTTAGTAAGAACTAAAGATTAAACCTTCCTTAAATGTATATTTTAAATTTCCTCTTAAAAATTATGACAATTGTGATCTTTCAAAGCACAGAAGAGGAGGAATTCTCTCCTCCATTTGTCTAGGGGCGAGGAAGTAAATCGCACGGCAGAGACTGCTAGCTGTTCAATGAAAGCGCAAGGTGAGCTTTACTTTAGTGATACAAATTGCAGCTTTTAGCTGGGTACGTGGCTACAGAACTCAGACTAGTTTTCTATTCTCCTTTGCATCTAAGTGTTGGTGGTCACACGACCAAGTTCTGGTTAATGAGTTATGAGCAGATGCTGCAAGCCCATTTTGGCTCTGTTCTCAGTAACAAGTAAGCCCTTATAAACAAAAAAGTGAATCTCAGCCTCAGTTCAAAGAGGCAGCGATAAAAGGCCTAAGCAAATGTAAAGAAAAGGGGAGCATGTTGGTCCTAAACTATTCTTTGGTAATCACAGTTTTCAGTTTCTTTTTCCTTTCTTCGTGGTACCAATTAATTTGTAAATGCTAATGTTTAAATAGCAGCATCCAATCCCTGATTTTCCCTTCTGGTCAAAGCCCAGCCAGTGGCTGAATTCAACACCCTTTACCTTTCTTTTTTTTCCTAGCACTCAATGAAACCATTGTATTTCCTGCTTGAACAGACCAATGAATAAGTGATCAAGGACCATTCTAAACTGCAGTCTTCCAGTTCTATAAACATTATTATTCGGATCCAAAAAACTATTAGCTAGAGCCTATTGATCCTCTAGCTCCCTCCTTTTCAGAGCACCAGCATACAAATCGTCTCATTTGATTTCCTTCTAGAAGCACAAGCTGGGCGTGGAAGACTGTACAGATGTAGCAGGAAGGTATGAATGGCCAACGGCACAAGATGAAACTGAAAGTGACATTCCTGTTTTAATACTTGCTCTTTGACCAAGCCTTTAAGATTAATGAATCTCGGCCGGGTGCGGTGGCTCACGCCTGTAATCCCAGCACTTTCAGAGGCTGAGGTGGGCAGATCACAAGGTCAGGAGATCAATATCATCCTGGCCAATATGGTGAAACCCCATCTCTATTAAAAATACACACACACACACACACACACACACACACACACACACACACACAAATTAGCCGGGTGTGGTGGTGCGCCTGTAGTCCCAGCTACTCAGGAGTCTGAGGGAGGAGAATCGCTTGAACCCGGGAGGCGGAGAAGGTGGTGAGCTGAGATTGCGCCACTGCACTCCAGCCTGGCGACAGAGTGAGACTCTGTCTCAGAAAAAAAAAAAAAAAAGAATCTCTTAGTTTTTAAGTGATGAGTGGTTGGGATTGCCAGTTTTGGTTTTGGCGTAGACTCAAGAGACAAAAATACAAGCTGGCAGGTCCTATAGTGAAATTTGGAGTGAATCCTGTAGCAGCTGATGAGGAACTATGAGACAGTGGCCTGTGTTGCTGGATAGAGGCATCCCACTGTCCACTCGTTGGTGTATGTTCTCATAAATTCACAATCATTCTTTCAAATGTGGCTCAACAATCCGATACTAAGGAGCACTACCTGAAATCACAAAGACAGTTTCTTTGTGAATATTGCACCTTCTTCATAGCTGTTGGTTCTTAGCACTGTTGTGTGTTCAATCTTTCATTAGATTATATACTCCTTAAGACAGGATCAGGAGTTATATTTTGTTGAATATACACTATGTTGATGTCATATGAAATAAAATTTAAGTGTATATTTGTGTACCATATGAGGAGAAATAAACAATATTATGTGTGAATTTTACATTTATTCTAATTTTCATTCATATCAGTTCAATCTTTCTCACTTTTCAGGATACATAGCCAGAGTCAATATTGGTGAGGAGGTCAGGAAGAGGTAGGAAAACGACTGGTGGTTGAATTGACTGGAATCAAAGGGGGAGACTGATTCTAATTGACATGAGGCAGAAAAATAAAAAATAGCTCAGGATTGAAATGACACAAAGTTTTATATATATATTTATATATATTTATTTTATATATAGATATATATGTTATATATATGTCATATACATGTTATATATGTTATATATGAATGTATGTTATATATATAAAATTCTATGCTACCATACAATTACAGAAAACATAGGATTTTAGTTAAAAAATAAATGTTATCTTCATGGATATCATTGGCCTTTTGATTGCATTTGTTGACTACATGAAACTATGGACAAACAAGTGAATTTTTAAAATTCTTTCATCATATATTAGTTAATTATTAATTATTAAGTCTCTTCACTTAATCAACATTTATTAAGTTCATGCTATACACCTGGCTGGTATATGCCTGGGTCTGGATACGAAGTTGAGTAAGATGTATAATCCAGGTTTAAAGTGCAAAAAAGGAATCCATGTAATTTAGAAAAGAAATGACATGTTTACGTTGGATAATTATTCCCATGTTTTCACAGTGGGAGATTATCTTGAAACACTACTCCCTTATACTTAATTGCCTCCAGGCATGGTGACAGGGTGATCTTTAGAATATGCACAAATCCAAAGGATCAAGTTTATAGCAAACAAAAAGAGAACAGGGAGCAATCTGGTTATGACATCAGTCACCTCCTAATTGGGGGGATATTTGCTGGCTAGCTGAGTTGCTTTCAAGCTAGAGGGTTCTAACCAATTAGTATATAAGAGAGCATATGGCTATGCAAAAAAAAAAAAAAAAAAGGACTAGGCTTTGAATTCTGGTTCTACTACTTACTAACTTTGTGCCCTTTTACAAGAAAGAGCACTTTTCTGAGTCTCAGTATGAAGTGATATTTAAAATATCTCATCAGGTGCTGATGACACATGACAGTAAGTCTCGCGGCTTACAGACACTGTGAAAGGACAAACACGTGGGGATTCTCAACAAACAGCAGCTATGGGATTGTTATTGTGTTTGCTGTTGTCATTGTTTTTAATTATTAATAGCACACAGATTATATACTCCATTTTTAATCTATTAAATGATTCCTATCAGGTAGCACAAAGTGGCAGGGTGTGTATTATAAAGAAGGAGTCAGGCAGGGAGTGTATTATAATTAATTTATTATTATTAGCATTATTATTATTATTATCATTATTATTATTATTATACTTTAAGTTTTAGGGTACATGTGCACAACATGCAGTTTTGTTACATATGTATACATATGCCATGTTGGTGTGCCGCAACCATTAACTTGTCATTTAGCATTAGGTATATCTCCTAATGCTATCCAGGGTGTGTATTATAAAGAAGGAGTCAGGCTGTGGGTCTTTTGAATACTGTTTTTCACGGGAGCAACATCCCAAACTGCATGTCCCACTAACGGTGGGATGAAGACAGCTCTGTCAGGCCGTGGTGTGGTGGCAGGTAGCACAGGTCCCAGAATTAGAAGCTCTGGGTTCCTGGCTGAGCTCTACTGCCTCCTAGCTGTGTTACTCAACCTCCCTGTGACCTCAGTTTTCCTACTAAATGGGGATAATAATAACATCTACCTCGTAGCACAGTTAGTGAGGATTAAATCAGTCAAAATGCGTAAAATCTTTATAACAATAGTTAGAAAACACCATGCACCAAAATATGCTAGTTATGTTATATTACAGAGTATGTCACAGACTAAATTAAGGTTTGACATCAAATTAAATAAGACGGCCAGGCCAGTGGCTCACACCTGTAATCCCAGCACTCTGGGAGGCCAAGGTGAGCAGATCACCTGAGGTCAGAAGTTCGAGACCAACCTGGCCAACATGGTGAAACCCTGTCTCTACTGAAAATAAAAAAAATTAGCTGGGCATGGTGGCGCACACCTGTAATCCCAGCTACTCGGGAGACTGACGTAGGAGAATTGCTTGAATCTGGGAGGCAGAAGTTGCAGTGAACTGAGATCTCACCACTGCACTCCAGCCTGGGGGACACAGTGAGACTCTATCTCAAAAAAAAAAAAATTAAATGAGACAATTAAAGAAGAAAAATTCAATATTAGAAATTAGACTAGATAGAGAGTTTTTTTTAATGGAGGAATAATTAGATAGATACCAAATAACGTTGTCTGTGTTAGACCATCGTGGCCAGGGGACCTATAGTTCCTATCTGGATTGCAGCCAAAATGGAACCTGCAGGCATCAAGCAAGGTCTGTTAAGAGATAAAGAATACCAAGGTGATAGAGCTTTAAAAAAATCTGTGCTTTCAACAGCTTCAGAATTCCCTGTCTAATCAGTAACAGCTTATCAAGCATGAGATGGGAGAAAAACAGTCATCGGGGCTCCAGATGGAAATGTTTAATGCATATGCAGTTTATAGGATGAATATAAATTGCAAACATGGTACATGGTAGTTTTTGGTTAATCTGCTGAACAAAAAAAGTATTGAATTTGTTCTACTTTAATTAATGAGTAACTGAATATTTGATACAGCAACGTACTTAACTCTTTCACAGAAAGTCAACGGCCAGTGATTTCGCAGATAAAGTTGGCATTGTCAGGGTTATTTTCATTATACATGTAATTCTTTCAAGGTATATTTTGCAGCAGAGATAAAGTCTTATATGTATTGCGATCCTCTCTTTGTGCTGATGAAAAATATCTATCAATCTACTTAATTGTGCAGCATACATTGGAGAAAAATGTAAGTATCATTTAAAATGTTTGGCACTCTTTGAAAGGAAGGAAGGTATATCAGATGTCATAGACAAGAGAACTAATAATATACCCTGTTAGTTGGTAGTAAGAAGCCTGAAAATGTAAAAAGTAATAATGTGGAGTGAATAAAGTGATATGTTCTGTCTACAGCTATTTCTTTATCTGTAATCTGTGTATCTTGAAGCCTATTTTAATTGCATACGTATTACATTTATATAGTACTTGCTATATGTTCCAGAACCTTTACAAAGTTACCTGATGCAATCCTCATAATCACCCTATTATGAGGGTACTATCATTATTCTCATTTTATAGGTAAGAAAACTGAGGCACAGAAAGGCTAAGTAACTTGCCCAAGGAAGCTAGAAAATGTCAAAGCTTGAAATTTCAAGCTAGGCTGGCTTTTGTACTCAACCACTCCACTGGGCTGTGTAGCTAGATGGTACCCAAAATGAACCTGCATACATTATTTATGTATTTGGTGTGTATCCATTGACAAGAGTGGTAAAAGACTGGAGAAACAGTCAGAAAATATTTTACTATTAGATAAGGTTTCAGGAAGTACGGGGATCTTGCGTCTACCTAAGAATATGAAACGGCTCATCACCAGTGTTGCTTTGAGTCTTTTCCTTTTGTGAAGTTGAATCATACATGCATCTTTTGTTTCCACTAAATAAAGTGTGCAATTGAAAAAAAAGCATTTCTGCTAATCATAATTGCATTCACTTTCTCCAGATACCAAAGAGAAAAGAATTAGGGCCACCTGTAATTTTAGAACTAAAGATACAAATGTAGGTTACTTTTATAAGGAAAAAAAGAAAAGTTAATTTTTTTAAATAATAAATTTGTTTTAGTAAAAAAAAGATTAAAATCTGAGTTGTAGACACAATAGGGCTAAATTGGAAAACAATGGAAAAAAGAATTTAAGGATGAGAAAATACTTTTTTAAATTTTCTCAGATTAAAATTAGTTTTATATTAAGAAGCTAAACGATATATTTTCTAAGTAATTCAATTAAAACATCTAATACCATAGTATCTGTGGGAGGAAACGAAGCAGTTGTGTTTTAAAGAAACTCAGGAAACTAATACAATGTTCCTTATTTGCCAGCTGAGGGGTTATTGCTATACATTTGTAGCAACGTCCATTAAAAGAGAAGTAGCTATTTTAAAATGCAAATAGCTAGTTTGACCTTCACAATGCTCTTTTTCTTCTTGTTTTCTAAATTATAAATCTTGCATTCTTTTTGATAGTAAAGCCAGAACGTCTATTAAAGTAGAAAATATAAACAGCTTAAACATTGCATATTATTCATCACCCATAGTATTAATGAAATTTACACTGACAGAAGTAACAAGGAACAACATCCTGAAGTCTTTGGTTGACTTTTTAAATTGTGTTCATGATTAAAACTCATATACTTTTCATCACTAATAAAAATGCAGCAGATTAAAAATTGCTTTGAAAGTCATAACTGATTTCACTTAGAAATTTATTCACTTAAAAATACTACCCATCTGACAAAGGGCTAATATCCAGAATCTACAAAGAACTTAAACAAATTTGCAAGAAAAAATCAAACAACCCCATCAAAAAGTGGGCAAAGGATATGAACAGACACTTCTCAAAAGAAGACATTTATGCAGCCAACAGACACATGAAAAAATGCTCATCATCACTGGCCATCGGGGAAATGCAAATCAAAACCACAATGAGATACCATCTCACACCAGTTAGAATGGTGTTCATTAACAAGTCAGGAAACAACCGGTGCTGGAGAGGATGTGGAGAAATAGGAACACTTTTACACTGTTGGTGGGACTGTAAACTAGTTCAACCTTTGTGGAAGACAGTGTGGCGATTCCTCAAGGATCTAGAACTAGAAATACTATTTGACCCAGCTGTCCCATTACTGGGTATATACCCAAAGGATTATAAATCATGCTGCTATAAAGACACTTGCACACGTATGTTTACTGCAGCACTATTCACAATAGCAAAGACTTGGAACCAACCCAAATGTCCATCAATGATAGACTGGATTAAGAAAATGTGGCATATATACACCATGGAATACTACGCAGCCATAAAAAAGGATGAGTTCAGGTTCTTTGTAGGGAAATGGATGAAGCTGGAAACCATCATTCTGAGCAAACTATCGCAGGTACAGAAAACCAAACACCACATGTTCTCACTCATAGATGGGAATTGAACAATGAGAATATTTGGACACAGGGTGGGGAACATCACACACTGGGGCCTATCGTGGGGTAGGGGGAAGGGGGAGGGATAGCATTAGGAGATATACCTAATGTAAATGACCAGTTAATGGGTGTAGCACACCAACATGGCACATGTATACATATGTAACAAACCTGCACGTTGTACACATGTACCCTAGAACTTAAAGTATAATTTAAAAAAAAGAAAAAAGAAGAAATTTATTCATTTAAAAATATCATATTAAAAATGTTATGGTATTTCATACATTCATATACTATTATTATTGTTAGTCTGGAATGCTTGATGGACATAATCTTATGAATTTTCAAAATATTACTCCCCAAATAGCAAGAAGAACCAGAATCCTTATAATAAAGCTTTCGTGCTGGGTAGAGCTAGAAGGAAATGTGTTGTAATACCATCTTCAGTTCATGTTACCACAAGCCATGGGGATTTCTTAAGTTCTAGATAAATGAGTATATAAAAGTAAAGGAAATTAAAGGAATGTGGCAGTCAAGAGAACCCAGGCTGTAGGTTAAATCGACACATAAGAATAGGATACTAATACTTCTCATCCAGTAATTTCAACTAGATGTGCAATCAATATTGTTTACCCACACAAAGTACAAACAATTTACATAAATGAAGCATTTATTTATAAAATGAGATTCATGAGTGAATTTTTATTCCCATGTATCAATCTTTTCACTATAGCAAACTTAAAAGTTTCATAACTGTGAAGGGTCCTTTTGAAACTTGCCTATATTCAACAATCAGAGAATAACATTACTGTGTACTCTTAACGGTGTTTGACAACTTCCTAAAATGGACCAGACACTTATATCTTAATCTCAATTTAATCCTCATCCACAATCTGGACCCTCACTGAGCTTGGTTATAAATGTATTGTCTAATTAAAAAAAATGCTTCAGAAGGAGCAAAACACCATTAGATATGCCAAGCACAGCTATTAACATAGTTGAAGCTCTGAAATCTCACCCCAGAAGGTTTTGAGAATTCTTGATGGCAATCTCACTTTCAATAGAAACATACTGAAAATGAAATAAGACAAAACACAAACCTCCTGATATAGGGTATAATATTATTTCAAAGAGCCATAATATTATTTAAATGATTGATTTTCATTTTTAATATGATGTATATTTTGGCCTATTCTATTTCACTGGCACATTTCTATTTATTCATATCATTCTACTTATAAATAGAACTTCTAAAAGGTTCCATATAAGTGTAACAAAGGAAAGATAAGAAAGCAAGTTTTTTACATCTAATGGGGCTTTTGCATTATGAACATGAAGAAATGCTAATCCATGATGCGGCTACTGTCAGCATATTTTCTTAAATGCTAACTGGTCAACCATAGAAATGGTGGCAGGAAAAGAACTTAGCAGAGATGAGGATGGGGAGGAAAAGATGGATTGGTAGCAGTGCCATATGCAGATGTGAGGAAATGAGCAAATATTTATCATAGCTAAATGAGGCACATCATCTGTAATGGGGAAGGGGAATATAGTTACTTGCCTATCTGAACCCATAGCATAGGCCAACCAAGCACACCATCCAAGAATATCAAGCAGATGATAAATGGAAGAGCAGATGGAGATCTCCAGAAACAACAAAAGAAGGGAAGCAGAATGATTATCAGGGAAACACGTTGGTTTTGAGGGGCTGCCACTGAAAATGTTGGATCTTACCTATGGTTCTTCAGCCAGGGTGAATAGAATGAAATAAATTCTACGGAGTGCAATAGCTAGTGAACTGTCATATACCAAGAAATAATAATAGGTTAATTGAATTCACCATCTTGATTCCAAAAGCAGGCTGTTTAAAAGAGCGAACAAATGAAATGCCTCATCTTTATCCTATTATCTGATGCTGTGTTTCATTTGGAAATGCCACACTGCATTTTCTGACTCAATCTCCTAACCCCACCCTTCATCCCCATACTCCATTCACATCACCCAGGTTTAAATTTCCGTCCCTTCCATAAACAACTCATGCTATGGTCACCAACAACTTCAATTTTACTAATTTCCTGGACAATATTTTAGTCCTCATCTTGCATGATCTCTTAGCAGTGCTCATCCCTGGTGCCCATTTCTGTCTTCCTGGCATGCTTTCTTGTCACATCTCCCTTCTAGATTTCCCCTGACCTACCTGCCACTCATTCTCTGTCTGCTTTGAAGCTTATGTTCCATTATTCAGCCATTATTTTTAGATCTAAGGACCAGTCTTAGATGCTCTTCTTTTCTCACCCTCTATTCTCACCCTTAGGTGATCTCATCCAAACACGGTTTCAATTACCTCTCCTATGCATAGCTAAGTCACAATTTGTCGTTTGTCCTATCCAAGCTGAGATCTTGACTCCTTTATTTAGTTATCCACGCAACACCTTGTAGATGCCGTAAAGGCACTTCGGATTCAACATTTACCATGTGTGCTCATTATTTAGCTGCCACTTACAAGCGAGAACATACAGTATTTGTGGTTTTTTTTTTTTTTTTACATTCCTGCATTAGTTTACTAAGGATGATGCTCTCCAGTTTCATCCGTGTCCCTGCAAAGGACATGATCTCATTCTTTTTATGGCTACATAGTATTTTGTGGAATATATGTACCACATTTTCTTATCCATAAAACAAACCTGCATATGTAGTCCTGAACTTAAAATAAAAGTTAAAAAAAAAAAAAAAAGAAAAGGCTTTGGGAGGCCGAGGCGGGTGGATCATGAGGTCAGGAGATCGAGACCATCCTGGCTAACACGGTGAAACCCCATCTCTACTAAAAATGCAAAAAATTAGCCGGGCGTGGTGGCGGGTGCCTGTAGTCCCAGCTACTTGGGAGGCTGAGGCAGGAGAATGGTGTGAACCCAGGAGGTGGAGCTTGCAGTGAGCCGAGATCACACCACTGCACTCCAGCCTGGGCAACAGAGCAAGACTCCATCTCAAAAAAAAAAAAAAAAAAAAAAGAATAAAGGAAGAAAAGGAAATAAAGACCCAGAGTGTTAAGTTCACCTCCTCAAAAATAAAAAAAACAACAGATGTGTGATCCTTTCTTTAAATCTGAGTCTCTCCCATCAGTCCATACCTGCATGGTATTGCCCAATACCAGGTAAAACCAGACTGACACATGGGAGGCATTTCCAGCACTTTTTTCCACCACAGCCCACATGTAACCCACAACCAAGTTCTGTAGATTTTACCTTCTAATAGCTCTTCAATCCTCCCAGATATTTCCACTCTGCTACCACCATCCTAGTCTAGGCTGCCAGGTCTCACCCTGGCACTGCAGTCATATCCTGTGACAGGTGTTACCAAGTCTTCTCTTTCTGCCTTCAGACCTGTCCTCTACACCACAGCCAGAGCAAGGCTTACCCAGAGCAGACATGATCATGATATGCTTCCTCCATGTCCATCACTCCAACACATACAAACTGTTGGCTTAAGATAGTTTGGTGGCATCTCTTTGGGTTTCTAATGGAATCAAAACCAGAAATCAGGAACATTGCCTAAAAAGCCATCTATTGCAGGATTTGTCAACTCTCCAGCCTTATTTCATACCAAATCACCCTTCAATCTCGGTGCTGCAGCCACACCAGCCTTGTCTTTCTGCCCCAAGAGTTCTGTTTATGCTCTTTTGTTTACCTGAAATATGACCCTTCCTCCTACCTTCACCTACTTTCCAAAGCTCAACCAGCCATCACCTCCCTGGAGAAGTTCTCCCTCAGATCACTACTGAAGTCACATTTCCGTTGGCTTCTATTACCTTGAGAGCACTACCATCCTCCAGGATGAGTACAGGTGCAATATGACCTCCACTGTGCAGATCTGTAATGTCAGTCTCCCCACAAAGGCAGAGACTGGTTTTTATTTTCATCATGATACCCTGGGCATATCCAGCCCCTAGTACATGGTTGGTTCTTAGTCATTGTTACTGAATCAATGATTGTTATTATGACCAAACAAAAGTTTTTGATACAGATGGCCAGAACTCTCAAGAATGACTTGAAACAAGATATTTGTGATCCTCTGTCTAGTACTACATAGACCAGCATTTTTGGTCATTCATTAACTTGCTAGTTGATTCATTCTGTGCCACTCCCTCAGCCTTAACTACCCGTATCTTCTTTTCCACATGTCTCACTCTTACTCATTTTACAGATCTCAGCTTAAATGTCACTTTCTCATATGTGGCCAGGGAATATCTGTTAAGTGAATGATGACCCTATCAAGTATTCACTGATTGCTATAATTAGGTGCCAGAGAGCATACTAGGGCCTGGGGTTACAAAAATTGATATGAAGCTTTTTCTGCCATCAGGAACTCATTTCATATTTGGGGACTGCAGTTATGTAGAGAGATAATTAAAGCCTAATATAAATGGTACAAGAGAGGGATGCATCTCCTGCTTGCTGAAAGATGCACGGGGCAGTCCTGCTGCTGTTCCCACAGAGTATGGTTGGAGGAATGTATACATCTTTTTTTTTTTTTTGCAGGATAATCTGCTTTATACCTGTTAGCTGAATAACTTTAAAAGTATCACTTCATTATTTGTTAAAAAGAAGAAAAAGTCACTATTTTAAAACATTGCTTGAAAATTTCTGTTATGGAGAAAATTTAACTAAACACTTTGATGGGCCATTTGCCGATGAAATTATAGGCCCTAGAGCACCAGTCAGAAGGCTGGGTTGAATTGCTTTACACAGCAAAATAAAAGGAATGTGTCTATGGTGAAACAGCTGGAAGAAGTCAAGCAAGAGTCCCACAGAGTTGAAGACACAGAGGGATACATAATGAGGTCCTGGGAGAAAAAGAGAGGCCAAACCATATACCCAGGTCCTGGGCCTGGAGTGAAGCAAATACACACACACACACACACACTGCCAGTGGTAAATTTCCTTTAATTATGCTTCTTTTGAAAACAGAGGTCTCTGCTATTTAGTTTTAAATCATGTTCTGATACATTTCCATCGTAAATGAGAAGCCTTCTCAAATAATTCCTTAAACCTTCCAGCCAACAATATGAGTATATTCAAGAGAAATTTGTGAAAGCTAGTTAAAGTTGCCTGACATGGAATCCGTACTCTAAGAAGGACATAAAAACATGGGGCCTTAATCAGCAGTTGCATCCCTGTCTTCTTTCCCTGGCAAGGCTATATGACTCTTTCAGTTTAATGACAAATGCAAAGCTCTTCAAATTCCCTGGAACCACAGGTAGGCTATATAGAAATCAAAGACTAAAATCCTAGCATTGGGTAATCTCTGGATCAGATCAGCATTCTAACAGTCCTTCTGAGCTCTCTAGGACCCAACTTCTGATCAGACTGTCAGTTAGGATCTCAGAATTCCCCGAATATCCGTTCTTAGGTGTGGTTAATACGATGACACTTCTCAGAGCATTTGAACCTTGAAAATGAGCTAACCATATGTGGTTTTGGCTACAGAAGAATTGATAGCTCATTTTTCCCCGACAGGCAATGTGCTTTTTCTGCCTCTGCATTTATGTCTATTTATATTTTTATTTGAGTGTTTCGGATGAATCTAGTCCCCCTCAAAAGATTCCACGTGAAAAGAGACTATGCTATATACCTAATTTCCCTCTGAGATTGTAGATAGGCACAATATATTTTCTTTAAAGTGAAAACAAAGCACATAAAATTGCAATATGTAAAAAGCATAGTACTGAGCCAGTCTATTTTGTTTCTGGTTGAAAAGAGATTTTCAGGTCATTTGTTTGTCAGGTACACATTAATAAAACAAATGTTGAAACTGCAGACATATCACAGGTCTTATTTATAGCCAAAGCTGTCAAGTTTCCTGTAGAAATCCAGCTGTGACCGATAGATTATTCCTCTATGCTGTGTTGTCTAATACTGCAGCCACTATCCCAATATGATTAATTGAACTTAAATTTAAATTAGTTAATAACAAAAATTCTGTTTCTCAGCCACTATAGCCACATTTTGAATGCTCCATAGCTACATATGGCTAGTGGCTACTGTATTGAACAAAGCAGAAGTGGAATATTTCCTCTATCACAGAAAATTCTATTGGACAACTCTACCTACTAGAAAACAGAGAATGATAGTAAGTAAGCAACTTTGAGATTAGCAGCTAATGAGTTTGGGGAACTGGATCTCCGATTGTCAGAAAGGGCCAGCTTTTATATCTTTACTCAATCTCTATGTTACGTAAAGCTTTAATTCCATTATTTATGTGACCTCTTCCCTCCCCTACCAACTGCTTTCTTACTGTCCCATCCCAGAAAGTCATACTGTTTGTTCTCCGTGAATAGAATTTATTAGAAAATAAAAAGTAAATAGTTGGAGAATATGTGGAAGACAGAATTCTGAGATGGCCCCTATATGTCCTTGCCTCTGGGACAGGTGACCTGTATAATCCCCTTCTTCTGAGGGTGAACAGAATCTGTGAATATGATGGGTTTTCTTTTCTGATTATGGTTATGTTATACAGCATAGTAAGTGGATTTAGTATATGTAATTAAGGTCCTATATCAGCCAGGGATTCACTGAAGAAACAGAACCAGGATGATAGAGTTTGCATATTTATGCTCTCCCCCTACCCTGCCATTCTAACATTGAAATGTAATTCCTAATGTTGGAGGTGGGGCCTAGTGAGAGGTGTTTGGGTCATGGGGGTGGATCCCTCATAAATGGCTCTGTGCCCTTCCCCGGGTGATGAGTGAATTCTTGCTCTATATTTTCCCCATGAGATCTGATTGTTAAAAATGGCCTGGCACTTCCTCTCTCTTTCACTCCCTCTCTCGCCATGTGAAAACAGATTTCCCTTGCCTTCTGCCACGAGTAAAAGTTTCTGAGGTCTCACCAGAAGACGCCAGCACTTCCTGTACAGCCTGCAGAACCATGAGCCAAATAAACTCTTTTGTTTTATAAATGACCTAGCTGCAGGTATTCCTTTACAGCAATGCAGAAAGGACTAACACACGGGAGGATACACAAATATTAAGATGTATTTCACGAAATTGGCTTATGCAATGTAGGGGATGATTTGGCAGTTCTGAAGTCCATAGGACAGGCTGTCAGGAAAGGCAGACTGGAAACTCTTGGGAAGAAGCCCAGGACCAGCTAGACTATTGGAGATAGCCTCCTTTACTTAAAGTAAATTTATTATGGAGTTTGTGGCCAAGCGCAGTGGCTCATGCCTGTAGTTCCAGCACTTTGGGAGGCTGAGGTTGGCGGATCACGAGTCCAGGAGCTCGAGACCAGCCTGGTCAACATGGTGAAACCCCATCTCTACTAAAAATACAAAAGTTAGCTTGGCGTGGTGGCATATGCCTGTAATCCCAGCTGCTTGGGAGGTGGAGGCAGGAGAATCAGCTTGAACCTGGGAGGCGGAGGTTGCAGTGAGCTGAGATTGAGTCACTGCACTTCAGCCTGGGCGACAGAGCAAGACTATGTCTTGGAAAAAACAAACAAACAAATAAATAAATAAAGTCAATTTATTATGGAGTTTAATCTTGTCTATAAAATACTTCCATACAACACCTAAGTTAATGTTTGATTGGCCAACCCAAGAAGGTAGCCTTGCCAAATGGACACATACAACTGATGCTCACAGGTCTCCAATTAGTTGATTTTAGGTCAGAAGAGTGACCATCCTTAGTGGGCCTGAGTTAGGCAGATGACCCCTTTAAAAGAGGATACAGAGATTTGAGATTTGTAGCAACAAAGGCTGTCTCTCCTGCCATCCCTGAAGAAGTAAACCATCCTGAGTTCTATAGCTGCGATAAAAAGACTTCTGCCAACAGTATTCGAGCTTGCACAAGAAGCCTGAATCTCAGCCCAGACCACAGCCTAGGCTGACACGCCGATGGGCTAGGCCATGCCCAGACACCTGGTCCACAAAAACAGTAAAATAATAAATGTCTGTTCTAAGGCATAAGTTTGTGGAAATTGTGCCATATAAGAAACTAACACAAAATGGAATGGGAAGAGAACAACCGAATGCGAATCGAGAGGATTAGGTAAGTGTGGCACTGAGCTGAGGAGACTTCATAAGATACTCAACAGAATGCTTGTTGAAATTATTTTCTTTCTATCAATGAAGAATTTCTTTGTTTCATCTTTAAGGATAAAGAAGTTGAAGCTCAAAAATTAAGTAGTTTGCCCAAAGTGAAATAGTACCTGTCAGATTCAAGATTTGTATTCTAGGGACAGTTCAGATTATCTCTTCTTATGGATGCCTGAATTAATGTCGGACAGGTGGGTTTTTGATTAGTCACTGCTACATTGTAAATATTATAGCATACTCATAAAAAAGAATTATGAAAAAATACCATTCTTTGGAATAGCAATACACAGTTTTTTGAGTTTAGTAGATCTAATCCCTCATTGCCCAAATGTTGGTGTCCCCTCCCAAAATTCATGTTGAAATCTGACCCCCAATAAAACAGCATTTGGAGGTGGGGCCTTTGTGAGTTAATTAGGTCATGAGGGTGGAGGCCTTATGAATGGGATTAGTCCTTTTTTTTTTTTTTTTTTTTTTTTGAGACGGAGTCTCACTCTGTCACCAGGCTGGAGTGCATTGGCGTGACCTTGGCTCACTGCAACTTCCGCCTCATGAGTTCCAGTGATTCTCCTGCTTCAGCCTCCTGAGTAGCTGAGATTACAGGTGTGTGCCACCATGCCCGGCTAATTTTTGTATTTTTAGTAGAGATGGGGTTTCACCATGTTGGCCAGGATGGCCTCGGTCTCTTGACCTCGTGATCCACCCACCTCAGCCTCCCAAAGTGCTGGGATTACAGGCGTCAGCCAATGCGCCCAGCCTAGTCCCACCTTAAGAAGTGACCAGACAGCTAGCTCGTTCTCTTCGCTATATGGTGATACAACAAGGAACTAGCAGTCTGCAACCTTGTACAGGGCCTTCACCCAAACTCGATGATGCTAGCACCCTGATCTTAGATTTCCAGTCCCCAAAACTATAAGAAATAAATTTATATTGTTTACAATCACCCAATCTATGGTAATTTGTTACAGCAATCTTACCTGACTAAAAGACAGTCTAACATGTGGTCTTCAAAATAAAGAGGAAATAAATACCCACCATGGTTGGCATTAGGGAAAGCAAACCTGTTTAATTACTGATGCCAACATTTTTTATCTTGACTATTCTCCCCCATTATGAGTTTGTGCACCCTTTCTCAGTAAGAAAAACTCGTTAGAGTCTGTGTGAACACTTACTAGTCTATAATTGGGAATGAACACAGCAAGAATTTTAGGAAACTTAAAATCTCCTGTAAGGCTTAAATAGAATTTATAAAATCCAATATGTCAGAATTTGTTACCAGATATATCTACAAGGCAAAAACAATTTCCAGTGTGATATGCTGTTTAGTTTTATAAAAAGGAAAGCCCATCTAGAAGGCAACTTCAGCCAACCATGAGCGTGGAGAAGCCACCGTCTGCTGTGTCACCTGTCCTGTTCTCATCCCGGATTTGGCAAGTAGAGGTGAGATTTGAAGTAGTCTGTCGTATGATGTCTTGGCTGTAATGGTAACAGAACTGACGAAATAACCTTAGAACTGACGACGATCTGCTGAAAGTTACAGTCTACCAGCATCTTCAATTCAGTTTAAAGAACTGTTAGGGTCATTGAGAAAACTTTTGTTCTTTCTAATTAAATAATAGGTCAGTGTGACCTTTGTTGCCTTCTAGTTTCTGTACATCAAGCTCCTGTTGCAGATATCAAGCTTTTGCTTTTAGACCTCTGAATTAACTTGTAAGGTTTTTTGTTTCTTTGTTTTTTGTTTTGTTTTGTTTTGTTTTATAAAACCACCTTTTCCACCTTTTTTATACTTCAGAGTTTGGAAAGGAGACAGGTACAAAAGATATGAGTCAACTTCATGAGAAAATCACCGTCTTTATTTTCTTAATTTTCCTAATT
The DNA here is from genome assembly GCF_000001405.40 of Homo sapiens. Taxonomy (NCBI): domain Eukaryota; kingdom Metazoa; phylum Chordata; class Mammalia; order Primates; family Hominidae; genus Homo; species Homo sapiens. The sequence continues at coordinate 147,065,893 of NC_000007.14, read as the reverse complement.
AAAACTCCTAATTTTAATATTGACTAAAATGTAAGTAAAATCAGAAATATATTTCTAATGATTTTTACTTATAATAATTTCTACTTCTAACAATCAACTTAAAAATGCCTATTAGCTTTGTGCAACTTACATTTTGAGATGCTGAGAAGAGTAGGAATTCAGTATAATAACCAGTTTGTGTCTTTAAGAAATTGATAATGGACTTGAAGAATATACTAAAAAAGCATAATTAATTCCTCATAAAATTTTAAGATACAAGGGAAACTGAACATATAAGTGACAGGATATAAGAGGAAAACTTTATCCACACAACAGACATGTAGGTTCAAATCTGTGTCTGCCACTAACCAGCTAGTTGGCAACCAACAAACTACAGCCACTCCTAATGTTGTTTACCTGGTGTTTAAATATGAGAGTTGGAAAAGATCATCTTAAATTGTACTTAAGAATTACACTGCCCCAATTTCTGAATAGTTAGTTAGAACAAATAGGCTCATACTTACATCAAAAGTTCATCTGTAGTCAACTTAATTTCATTCTTATCCAATATATTTCTTGACTTAGAATACAAAATAGCCTCTAGTGAAGATTCAAATGGTTGCCATTTGCTTAATAATTACTATGTGCAAGACATTTTCCATTAAACTTTTCAATTAATAATTAACAATATTAAATAACGGCTATTATCACATTCACCTTACATATAGGAAACTGAGCTCCAAAAAGGTCAATGACTTGCTTAAGGCTTCATAGCTAATAAGGGAAGAGCTGGAATTTGGACAGGGCTTTATATTACAGTAGATTTCTTGTCCATTTGTGCATTTAAAACAATCTCATCTAAACTATTTTCTATCAGAAGCAGAAATTAGAAGAAAAACATGTATAGAACAGATTTACTTAATTTCAGAGGCATTTAAATACTCAGCATTTTATTTTTCATTTGGACAGGTTAAACACTTTCATCAGCTTATTTCATAAGGAATTTGAGCTCTTGAAACTGCAAAATTGATGTGGGCTTCACAGTCTTAGTTCTAAAAATCTGTGTCTTTCTGGACTGAAACAAGGTCAGCCAACTGGGAAGATTTTAACATTTTTAGAAAATGGATTTGTTTTATATAGTTTTGTTGGAGATGGAGAGAATGATTTTCCATTCCCTACAGTAATTTCTTCTTTATTATTCTTTATTTAAGGATATATTGACATTGAATAAGTCCCCTCTGCTATTAATTGAATATTTTGCAACTACTTACAGAAAAATACACTATAAGAACTGTGACTGGAGATGGGAAAGAAATGGGAGGAAAGAAAGGCGGTGTGTGTGCATTCAAGGTAATACAAACAACACTCACCTTTTGTGAAGAATGCTATGTGAGGCACAGGGAAAATGTCAAATCTCTATAGATGGTGTGGTCAGTCAAAGAATTCTTCCACATCATTTAGCAGGTGAGATGCTACCCTTTCATCAAGTATCTCACAAGCCTCTTGTTATACAATGGAGAGGTTTTTATGGTAGGATATGCACTTAACAGCAATATACAGAGCATGTGCCTGTTACTTTTTTCCATTTCATAATGTGTGAAACAAATTTATGAACTATTTGTCATAAGAATTCTGATATATCAATTAAGTTGACATTGGAGTTTTAATAATCTTTTGTTAATGCTCACTCAATACACTATTTCTAGGAACTCTCCAAAATTAAAAATTAAAATGACACATTAAATAGCATGCTAATGGTAAGTCAGCCTTTTAATACTACTTTAACATGCCATTTCAAAAGGCTTATGAAGTGCTATACTTAAAAACCACTAGAGGACATTTGTTAAAGATTGCAAACAGTGCTATTAACTAACATATTTTATATTGATTTCGATGAGTTGTCCCTATTTCTTTCCATCTCTCACTTCTCTGTCTTATCTTTCTCGAAAGCTGCTGTAATTCTTAGCTAACTTACATATCCTTACTCTCCTATAATGTCAAAATGATCATACAATTGTGAGAAATTGAAACTGTGACTAGATAAGATTTTTTATACTGCTTTTATATTTTTTATATTACACTGCTTTTTTAATGTGATATTGAAAATATAGATTTTAGGTACTGTCTATGGTTTTAATTTTATATATAAATTAAAACTGTGACTAGACAAGGATTTTTATGACATAAGTGTGCTGAGTCTTCTTTGCAAATATAACTGTTTTTAAGTCATTTTGCTGGACTTTATATTAATTACTAGACATTTTTGCCTCTCATTCCTGTTTCTCCTATGAATTAATTTATTATTTAAAAATAGCTTAAGTGTAGACATTCTTTACTTTCTTGGGCCCAATATGCTCCTTCATAGTTCCACTGGGCATACAACAATTATTTTTATTTTCCAGAAAAAAACTGAGATTGCTGTTATCTCCTCCTCCCTTAAAAATGCATCTATAAAATGTCCAAGTGTGGAAAGGAACCCAAGTGTGTCCCATACCTGCGGTTGTAAAATTATCCTCTAGTGTAAATTGCTGAGCAATTGGCCATTTTTTTTTACCAACAAAGTCATTTCATATATAGGATAGATAAAAGAGGGATTCATTCTTTCACAACTATTTTAAGAATATCTATTACATGCAAGGCAAAATGCTCACACTCAAAGTCCACCCATTGATGACTTCTAATAGAAATGAAAACGTACATGTTACCTTAAATGTAATATAGTGGAAGAGCATGGGGCTAAGCACTAAAACCAAATCCAATACGGTTCTGCTACTAGTTCCTTATGGGGAAGTCTCAGGAGGAGCCGTTTCCTCTTTCAGGGAGTTCTCAGTTCTTCATCTGCAAACTTAATAGTTGGACTAGAAAATACATGTGAAGCCAGCCACCTCTAAACATTTTCTGGCTCCGTGACTCCAGTCTTCTATTCTGCTTTCAAGTCAATCAGTGCAGAGAGAAAATCTCTTTTCTGAGTAGTATCAATTATATTTTGATTTGAAGGCAACTCCTTCTGGAAAATGCTTATTTCTCTGTGTGAGCATCAAGACCTCATTTTTATGCTTATTTAATGTTTAAGGCATGTTTTCTTGTGAGGTTAAGAACAGACGCTAGATAATAAAATTCATTTCAGAGTTGAGAATATAGGAAGTACAAACAGTTACTACATGACTCTATGCACTACCAAAGGGAAGAACTAAGAACAACAGCAGCAATAATAATAAGGGCTAATATGTATAAATCCTTACCTTCAGCCAGCCATGGTGCTAAGCACTTGGCATTTATTATCTAATTTAATCTTCATGACAAATCTATGAAGTAAGCATTCTTATTCCTATTATGAGTGGCAAAAATGGGATTTGGAAAGCTTAAGCAATCATCTCAAATATACCCATTTAGTAAACGTGGCATTTATTTTGTCTTTAAACCCAAAAGGCCATCTCTTTTGATTATATCATATCATTTATAATAAAAGATAATGCTACACTTCATAATATGGTTACCACAAATAATCCCTGTGCATGCATACTCTGCTCTAAACTAAAAAGTGACATTGGGAATGACATTGTGAATAATTCTTTGAATTAATACAATTTTAAGCATTCTATATGATATTTAAGCAGGGATAAATTGTGACATATAAATCACAATAATATACTGATATTACACTGCTTTTTTAATGTGATATTGAAAATATAGATTGTAGGTACTGTCTATGGTTTTAATTTTATATATATCATAAAGAACTGGTTTTTTTTTTTTTTTTTTTTTTTTTTTTTTTTTTTTTTTTTTTGAGACGGAGTCTCGCTCTGTCGCCCAGGCTGGAGTGCAGTGGTGCGATCTCGGCTCACTGCAAGCTCTGCCTCCCGGGTTCACTCCATTCTCCTGCCTCAGCCTCCTGAGTAGCTGGGACTACAGGCGCCCGCCACCACGCCTGGCTAAATTTTTGTATTTTTAGTAGAGATGGGGTTTCACCGTGTGAGCCAGGATGGTCTCAATCTCCTGACCTCGTGATCCGCCCACCTCCCAAAGTGCTGGGATTACAGGCGTGAGCCACCGTGCCCGGCCAAAGAACTGTTTTTGAATTATGTTATTAGTATCCGAATACTAAGTATACTAGTTTATTCAGCTAGTGTTTTTTTGTTTTGTTTTGTTTTGTTTTCAAATAAAGTAATTGGTTGCTATTTTGGGATAATTATTTATAGGTGGACCATCAACACATTCCCAATTGATTCAAGTTCCCAAGACTGCAGGAAAAGCAGCAGAGAATCACTGAATCGTGGAGGAGGAAATACAAACAGGGGCCACTGTAAGTATCACAACTAGTCTCTGGGAACACATGAGTGTATACACACATGCATCACTGTATGTACATACAAGTGTGTGCACACAATGACACGATAAGACCCTGAAATAAAATGAAACCAGGATTGACTTAGAGTAAGCCTTTCGAAAGAACAGCAAGATGGAAGCTTAAAATTAAAACTGATAAATAAAGGGATGAGAACTTTTATGTGCATCTGAATTTATACATTGAGATACAAATCTTGTACATATTTTAAAATGATATTTAAAGCAAATTATATATGTTTTGTATTTTTCACAATTTTGACTAATCATTTTTTTAATTTTATTTTACAATGGTAAAAACACATGAGATCTACTCTCTTAACAAATTTGTAAGTGTTCAATGCATTATTTCTGACTGTAAGTACAATGGTGTGTAGCACATTCCTAGAATTTATTCATCTTGCTCAACTTCATGCCCATTAATAGTAATTCTACATTTCCTCTTCCTCCCCGGCCCCTGGCACCCACCGCTCAACTCTTTGATTCTATCAATGTGACTATTTTAGATGCCTTATATAAGTTGAATCATACAGCATTTGTCTTTCAGCGATTATAGTAATATTTGAATATTAGTAATAAAGTTATTGAATATTAATGCAGAAAAACATAAAAAAGGTTATCCATAATACTACATCTCAGAAATATGATTAGTATTTTGATGTAATTTTTGCGCAGTTTTTTTCTTTTTCTTTTTCTATTTTTTTTTTGAGACAGAGTCTCGCTCTGTCCCCCAGGCTGGAGTGCAGTGGCGCGGTCTCGGCTCACTGCAAGCTCCGCCTCCCAGGTTCACGCCATTCTCCTGCCTCAGCCTCCAGAGTAGCTGGGACTACAGGCGCCCGCCACCACGCCTGGCTAATTTTTTTGTATTTTTTAGTAGAGACGGGGTTTCACCGTGTTAGCCAGATGGTCTCTATCTCCTGACCTCGTGATCCGCCCGCCTCGGCCTCCCAGAGTGCTGAGATTACAGGCGTGAGCCACCGCGCCCGGCCCCAGATATTTTTTTTGTACTTTTAGTAGAGACAGGGTTTCACCGTGTTTGCCAGGATGGTCTCGATCTCCTGACCTTGTGCTCCACCTGTGTTTGCCTCCCAAAGTGTTGGGATTACATGCGTGAGCCATCGTGCCCAGCCTGCACATTTTGAAATCAAACTGCTAAGTGAAAGAGATATTGATCTGTATTAACAATTTTATATTCTGCTTTTCTTCACCTAATACATATTTTTGTTGTTGTTGCCATTAAAATTGCTTTAAATAATTTGCAATGGCTGTTCAACACAGTTTATTTGACCACTTCCCTTTTTGTCATGACTTTCAAATAACTACTCTTAGGAAAAATTGTACTATAGATGTACTGTGTTCCCCTCAAGGACAGATACATTTTTTTTTTTAAATTGTTACTTTGGGACCTTTGAGAATATGGCACCACTAAACAAGCAAATACATAATCGCTCTTATTTTTACACTTAGTGATTGAATGAATAAACAAAAAATTATTTTGTCCTTCATTTTCATATTGTTAAAATGAAGATAGTTCCTAATGAAGATAGTTGTAGCAGTATCGTGAGGTTTTAAATAAGGAACTTAGCACAATATCTGACCTATAATCAATGATTAATCAATTCTGGATACAAACTATAATTATAGTAGTAATGATAGTAATTATTATTATAACCATTCTTTCTATGAATCTGTTATGCTCTGATTTTATGCTGTCTTTAAGAGGTAACATGCTTTGGTAGAAAGGCCAAAAATTAAAGTGACATTGCTTGTTATGAGAGTAAGTTAATTCACTTCTTCAACTTCGGTTTTGTCATTTGCAAAATGGGGGAATAATTACCTGTTTTGCATCTTTGTTGTAAGGACACAATATATATGAGCCAGACACCCTAAATAAATGCTGCTTATTGCTCAGTTCCTAGCTCCAATATTTCCTACTAGGTATAGTTCTGAATCAAGCTAGTGAGAATTAATCTAACAAATGGTTGTTTAGTTAACCAAACCACCCACTATTTCCTCAATTAAAAAGCAAGCATGGGGATAGTACTATACTTAATTTTGTAAGGTGAACCCATTGTACAATTGGAAATAAGATCACAGTCAAGAGTATCTTTTTATTTGCAAAAAAAAAAAAAAAAAATCAGAATTATCATATAACCCCCTCCCCAGTTTTGTGCTCAAGACTCTTACTAAGTAACTGGATTATCTGTGCCAGACTGAGGTTGCCTAGAGTTATCCAAATAGCTCTTTGAGGTGGTCAGTCCAATTTAAATGCAATAAAACATCCTCCAAACCAATTTAATGGCATCAACCACTAAAGCAATCGTTTGAACTTTCAATAGAACATATTTTCACACTGTGTATTATGCCCCTCTAGGCACAACTCCAAATAAGCATGATTAAGATGACACAGTGACTTCATCCTCAAAATCAGAAGAGCATTCACATGTATCATTCAAATTCTTATGACAACCCTAAGAGGTAGGGAGGAATAGGGTGTGTGGCATTTTATGTGAATTGGAAAGGTTTGTTTGGGATTGCTAAGCACATCACCAAGGAGTGGTATTGTGTGGTGTCACATGGTCAATGAAGGTGTTATTAAAAGTGCAAAAAAACACACAATCAGGCCTGCATCGTTTACTTCCTTAGTAGGAAAAGAGCCCTTTGAGGGACGGGAATGGTGGCTCATGCCTGTAATCCCAGCACTTTGGGAGGCCAAGGCAGGTGGATCACGAGGTCAGGAGCTCAAAACCAGCCTGTCCAACATGGTGAAACCCCGTCTCTACTAAAAATACAAAAATTAGCTGGGCGTGGTGGCACACATCTGTAGTCCCAGCTACTTGGGAGGCTGAGGCAAGAGAATCACTTGAACCCGGGAGGCAGAGGTTGCAGTGAGCCGAGATCACGCCACTGCACTCCAGCCTGGATGACAGAGCGAGACTCCATCTCAAAAAGCAAAAACAAAAACAAAACAAACGAACAAAAAAGAACCCTTTGAGGTGGAAGCTAAGAAGTGGGGCAAAGTTATTTTATTGATTTGTTTGCTCTGTTTTAGAGAAAATCAGCCTTTATGCTATTTATGAAGGTTAATGTTTCTTAAATGTGAATAGAGTGCGTGAAAACAATATAAATTTTATTCTGTTAGCAAAGTGTATTCTATAATAGAATAGAATATAGTGTAATATACTCTATAGAACATACTATATCTATAATAGAATATTAGAGAATACACTTTGCTAACAGACTACAAATTTATATTGTTTTGAATGTCTACTTTTTTAGCAAAAGTGAAATGCAAAGAAACAGCTATATAAATAATCCCCGGCCAAACTATGTGGCAGATCTAATCAATCTCCTCTTGATCCCAAACTTAAATTCACAATAAGGAAAATGTCCAATTAACCAAAGGAGATTACAGATTCAAATTGATCCTGGTTGAAAAGATGATATCCTTAATGGCAAAATAAAAAGTAATGCCTAATTAATAAAAATAAAACCACTTAGATTGAAAATGTTTAGAAGTAATGTTGTGTAATTCTCCACAAATCACAGACAAACGATATGAGAATTCAAGAGGTCATTTTCTTTTGCAATATTTATGCTGATGAGGTGACATAATAGTATTTTTATCTGCAGTACATATATAGGAGATCTATATATGTAGGCATACTTTAACACCATAAATATTGTCCTTATCAATATGAAGTCTATGGAAATCTCAGCATGCAGTACGTGCTTTCTGCAAATAACAGACACTGCTATATAAATCAAATGAATGTTGAGTCAATTCTTACAATGTGTCAATTTTCCTTTCGTAGTTCCTAGGAACACAATGAACTGATTTCTAGGTGACACTTTAGCACCATCTATATCAGCAGTTCTTACCCAGGGGCAGTTTTGCCACTAGGAGACTTTTGGGTTAATTTTGGTTGTCACAACTGAGGGAAATATGATGCACTTCTAGTATTGAATGGGTAGAAGCCAGGGATGTTGCAAAAGATTCCAGTGTACGAGACAGCCCTTTCCTCCAAAGCCAAGAATTATAGAGCCAGAAATATCAACAATGTCGAGGATGGCAAACTTTAATCCCTACTGACAAAACTTTATCTTTACTGAAAGTTGAAAATCTAATTTGTTTTAAAACATTTATGTGCTCTTTTATTTTAGAAAGAAGATATAAGAAGAAGAAAAACTAGATTAAAGAGAAAGAGCAGCATAATTTTTAAAAAAAATAGAAGAAATGAGGTGATATAGAGTCATTATGGAAGGTCAGGTGATGGATGAAGCAGGCTTTAGGCTCAGCTGTTTGTGGGCAAGTCCAGGCTGGGTCCACACTGTTGGTTGACAAAGGAGGAAACACATTGCATTCTCCTGTTGTTTCATGATATCGACTTCAAATGATTTATTTTACAGCAAGATCTTAAATAAATTTGTAGCATATTTTAACTTAGACGCTGTTGAAAAGGATCATCTTGGCCTGGTGCAGTGGCTCACACCTGTAATCCCAACACTTTGGGAGGCCAAGGTAGAAGGATTGCTTAAGCCCAGGAGTCTAAAACCAACGTGGGGAAAACAAACAAACAAACAAACCAAAAAAAAAATAACCCCATCTCTACAAAAATATAAATAAAAAAAATAAGCTAGGGATGGTGGTGTGCACCTGTAGTCCCAGTTGCTTCAGAGGCTGGGGCAGGAGGATTGCTTAAGCCCAGGAGGTCGAGGCTACAGTGAGTCATGATCATACCACTGCACTGCAGACTCGGTGACAGAGTGAGAATGTCTCCAAAACAAACAAACAAATGAACAAACAAACAAACAAAGCTCATCCAGAGATTGAATTGAAACCATTTGCCCCACTGTATTACTCAGATAGCCTTCTGGGACCCTCACTGGGTAGGTTTTGTTGCAAAAATTACTAACCTTGCTTTTGTTCGTTAACTTTAGCATTAGTAAGTATACATTATTTTGTTTCAACAAAAAACACACCCACACCTGTAATAGATGGACACAGCATGCTGAAATTTGGAGTAGAGATTAATGACCGAGGCTGTTAATCCAACCATGTTCAGAGTCCAACTCAAATCAAAGTGAGCTCAGTCCCTGTCCTTTGGAACATAGCAAAACCCTGTAAAAGGATTTGGGGGAAATAATTATATTTTCTATGGAAGTGCAATGCCATGGGAAAGAGGGTTTTTTTTTCCCTTAATAAAACATTTGCACTTCAAAGTTTAGGAAGCTACTTGTCCATTTTCTAGTTTATATTTATGATACACAAATACAGCCAACACAGCAAGTTTAAAAGAGCACATACAGCTAAATAGACATGATAAATGGTTGGTTAAGAAGGAAGAAATAATTTTTATAACAGGGAAGAAAAACAGGGAAGTTTTTCTTTTCTGTTCTGATAACAGGGAAGAAAAAATTTTATATGGGATTTTACATGTTGTTCATGTTGTTGATTTGGCTAAAGTTAGTAATTAATGCAACCTATACGGTGATATTAAATTCGGATTGTTAAATCAAATTTACACAAAGCAAACATCTTATGTAGAGCCAAAGATTATTAATAATTGTAGAAAACAAAACATTAAGAGCTTGTGGTATAAGGCCGAAAAGTAAGGCCCAGTTTATGTGTGCTTTGACATCTGGGAAAAGCCTGGAGGGTCTCCAGTGACCTCACTGCAAGCTCCCCTCCCAACTTTGTTCCTGCGGATATGTCCTCCAATAAAAAGACGCTGCTTCCCTCGGGGATCAGGCATATTCCACTTCTCCTTGAGTATTGGGCTTCCGTTCCCTCCTACCCTACACCCACAGAATTATTCGAACAAGCCAATCACATCCTCCGGTGGGAACCAGGGGGAAGACCACTCTCTTGATACAACAAATCCTGCCTCCCGCAGTGTCTGATTGCTCACTCTGTTCCCAAGGACAACCCCCATGTCCCCTGCGAGACTTGAGATGCCTTTCTCTCAAAGCCTGTGTGGAAATGCCACTAATAAACTGCTGTTGGTCTCAGTTGCTTTACGTCAGGTGTCAGGTGTTCCGTCATACCCATAACCCCAGGACAGGAATCCTCCCTTACCCATGGGATAAAGAGGAGGTAATTAAAACAGAGGGACAAGCAAAGCAAGGTGGGATCTGATACACACTGCATAGTTCCTCAGGCTTTTTCTTCTTTCATCAGACATGTGCTCTCTGGCCTAGAGTAATAGGGACAGTCCTTAATAAGCTATGCAGTTTATTGCCTCACGCAGAAGCATTTCGGTTATGAAGCATCTCCATTTCATTCCTCCATGGTCATCTAGCTGATAAGTGATTTTCCATAGAGCCGTGATCATAAATCTAAAGTTGCTAAGTGTTTACCATAAGCAACCTAACACAGGGATATCTTGCTAAAAACATTCCATAAATAAGGACTTTTTTCCTAGCAAATATTATTATTTGGGGGTGCCTGAGGGTAGAGTATTCAGATGTTTACAAAATGATTGGTACGGGTTGAATGCTTTCTTTAATTCTTGAGATTATTCCCCCATTAATTGGTAATAAAAGAGAACACTGACAGTTTCTTTAACTCCTCCTGTCCAGCCAAACGAGCATGAAAGGTGAAAAACCTAATATGACAGTATTTTGAGCATGTGAGAAAAATATACATGCTTCATTTAGAAGCATAGAAAATATAAAAATCTCAAATTGAAAATCTGGATTACTTCTTTTCAAGTCTAACTATAAAAGATCTGATACTATTCTGATAGGAGTAAGAATATTTAATCTCTGAAAATCACTGATTTCTAATTCAAGTAATTTAAATTGCTTGAAATTTTTAAAGTGTGCATACTAAATAATTATTTTATTATGTTGTTACTTTTAATTCATGAGGACAATTACTGCCATCTTAAATATTTGCTCTTCTCTCCCTAGCTAATTTAAATAGGTGATAATGAAAACTAACAACATAAGAATAAAAGCTAATAAAGGAATCACTTATATATATTTGCAGCATTTTAAATTTTATTGCTTTCCTTACATTAAACGGATTATAAGTGAAATGTTGATGGACTGTATAACTGTAATTTAGGCTCTAGTACTCTCTGCAATCATCTATCATAAATAAAAATTAACATATATATAAAAAGTAGTTAACGTATCTCAGGAGGTAAGATTACCTGAGAAAATACACTAACTGATATTGATAAACTTTCTGCACCAAAATGCAATTAAAGCTTGAGTTATGTTTATTTGCAAGCTGTTCTCCAATGAGTACATTATGAAGATTAGTCATTTAAATTTTTCTGCTGGACATGTAGAATGCACAGTACTAGTGAGATACTTTTCTTACTGGATATCTCCTATATATTCTTACGGTGATAATTGATAGGCCAAAGCATTTCTATGGTCATTAGAATTCACAAAATTGTATTTTCTGTAGGCCATCACTAAGATTATAAAAAGCCCTTACGGGTGAAGAAGAAACAAAGAAGAATGAACCAGAGGAGAGAGGTATTAAATGTCAGAGAGGAAGCTATGCTCTAGATTGTTATGCAGGATTTCTAGGTCTGCGATTAATTCGCTTATGCAAGTCGCATAACTCTGTGGGTTTTGGTTTCCTCGTTAGTAAAATAGAGGATTGGGCTGGATGGTCTCTTGGGAACTTTTCAGCTTTGAAGTTCTTATAGAGTACACATATGGCTCCTCTTTGTAGTAATCAAAATATCTTATTTATAAACCACAGTGAAACATAGTTCTTTTTCATTACTTTATTCTTCTCTTTAACCAGGCACCAAAATGTGTATATATACTTTTGTTTTAATATGTTTACATTTCTTGGGAAATTATTTTATGAAAAATTTTGGACTAATATGTATAATAAAAGTTATACCCTCCCTTATTCTAGAAAGTATACTGTTATTCATATTTCAGAGTGACAGACATAGGTCTAATTGCATATTACTCTCTGCCAGAAATTTTAATTTGCTTTTAAATCGACACTCTTGATTTTATATGTCAGTTTAACTTTGAAAGTTCTTGAGAGTAAATTTAAATTTAGATTTTACAGTAATATGATGTGACTCTAGCTCTATATCAGTGACATATTAAATAGTTCTCCAAAATATAAGCTAGCTGCCAATTGTAACTGTCTTGTTCCTAAATATAAAGGTAGGCTCACCATGTTCTCTCACTGAACAAAGTCAATTGTAAGTTTCTTCCAAGTAAACAAATTACACTAGAAAAAAAACAATTAAATACTGATAGCTGTTTCCCCATAGAATAAAAAATTAGAACATATATTTCCATGCTTTAAATTTGTTCATTTCAAATGTCACCCTCAAATGGTAACCCAGGAATGAGATCCACTGAGTATCTGATCCACTAGCTATCTACCTTAGCCAACCCCTGCAAAAAAGGCTTATACCCAAATTATGTGAAAGTATCTATCATGTGCACTTTCATCATTAGCCTTATCCCTACAATAATATTTATATGTACAGACCAGGAAGTCATTATCTCAAACTGACACTGAATGACAATCCACAGCTGTCTATTACAAAGCACTCCAATTCTAGTTTGAAACCCAAACTATACTTAAAAGCACTAAAGAATACTACATGTGCTCAAATCTAAGTTCCAGATCTCTTAATGGCAAGAACATCTCTGGTTACAACTTACAGTATTTTTTTTAAATCTAATAACATGAAAACTTAGAAACATAGCATATCCCAAATATGTCATACAGCACATGACAATTTTAATTACCTCATTAATTATCAGTTTATCTTGTATAACTTGGCAGTGATATTTATTAAATCTATTTTTATGTTAAGTTACTTTTATTTTCACATTACTCTGGATCTTGGGTGGTTTTTTTTCCTCTGATAAGCAATCCATATACATAACCCATGAAGCAGCCTCAAAAAAGTGTGATTTAAAATAATAACCAGAAATAATAATACAAGTTATACAAATATTTAAATTAGAAAAAAACACTGAGTTATTTGCTGTCTATAGCTCTGTTTGAACATCTATTATTATATTTAGTTTGGTAATTATTTCAATATTTTGTAGGCCCCTTAGAGCACTGTTCAATATGATACAATATAATCATGCCCTGTTCCACCAATAAAAGAATCTATGCATCCTCAAATAGTAATCAGTTTTCACTGAGGGAATAAATTACGCCTGTATCATTTACATTTGATGTCAGTTCATTTCAGCAAACATTTATTGTGTACAGGGAGCCTGCCATTTAAGGGGATGCTAGTGATGAATAAGGTGACACTTGCTGTCTCCTCCTCCCAGTATCTTGCAGTTGACTTTATTTTGAATTATTTTGTTAAATATTCCATTGGAAATATTTATGTAATATAATGGTATATGATATCTGATAAATATTCATATGAAAATAAACACATGACTCATTGTGGAAATTCAGATGATTCTCATTAAAGACTGCATTTCAACTGAATCTTGAAAGATAAAAAAGATTGGTCAGGTAAAGGATGATGGAGAGGCTATTTTGGTTAGAGAAAGTATCTCCAATGACTGCCTGTTAAACAAGCAGGTCACTCATGTATTAGGAAATATAGCTTGTATTCATATTTGGAGCATAAAACACAATATGACTGGATTTAAGACTACAGAGGTAGTCAGTGGGTGGGCAGAAATTAAATTTCAAACAAACAGCTTGGACTTTATAGGCAATGTAGCATCATTAACGTGTAGTCAGCCCAGATGTAATATGGTCAGATTTGCACTTAAGATTTAAAATTAGCAAAATGCCTTTAAAATAGTATAATTCAATGTTTTTATTCTTATTAATATTAATAAGATTAACAAATCTGTCACAAATATATTGATCCTCTAAGCAACATAATAATTTGTATATTTTTGTACACTGAAATGAGACTTATGTTGCTAACTAAAAACTCCAAATATGAAATAAATTATGTTCTTACCTCTGTGTCTCTTAGTCTTTGAAAATGTTAGTTCTTGTCTTGAATGCTCCTTTACCCCTAATTTCTGTTGCTTCTTAGTGAAACCTTATTTCATTAATCAACATAGGCGAGGCTTGCTTCTCTGTCATAGCATTTATCATAGAGTATTTAAACTATTAACTTATTCATTTATTCTGCCAAAAATTCATCTCCTTGAGGGCAGAGTTCATGCTTTAGGTTGTTTCTAAATGCCTGAATGCGATACAGGTTCACTGAATAAATTGAAGAAATTATAAACACAAAATATAAGTATCTGGGATGCTTCTGTATGATACAAAATTAAACATCTAATTTAAGTAGGAACACACAGGTTGACTTCCAGAACTGATTTTTTATTTTTTGCTCACTTAAACTGATGTAAACATAAATTCTTAATGATTTATATATATATATATATATACATATATATGTATATATAATATTGTGTTTAATAGTGTTTCCAAAAGTCCATGTCCAGCCAAAACCTCAAAGCGTGGCCTTATTTCAAAAGTGGGTCTTTGTGGATATAGCTTGTTAAGATAAGGTCATCCTGGTTTAGGGTAGATCCTAATTCCAATAACCGATGTCCTTAGAAGAAGACTATTTGAAGACACAGAGACACAGACAAAAGCGAAGAAGTTCATGTGAATGTGAACCCAAAGGAGAGATTGAAATGAGGCAGCAATGAGCCAAAGAACATCAAGGACTTCTGGCCACCACCAGGAGATGGGCGAGGGACATGGAACTGTTTCTCTCTCCAAGCTTCCAGAAGGAACTACCCTTGCTAACACCTTGACTTCAGACTGTGCCCTCTAGATCCATGATAGAATACCTTTCCATCGTCTTAAATTTCATCTTAAGATTGCAGAACTGTTTTACAGAGACCCCAGGAAACTAACACATCTGTACATGGCAGCATCTCTTGCCTGGGAAGAATGAGAGTGAGGGGAGTTAGTGTGTGACCCTAGAAGAGGGTATTCTCACTAGAGATGCAGACGTGCCATCAACACAGCATGAAAATGACCAAACACTGTCTTTTACTTATTTGTATTTAACTTCTCCTGATATGTTTTCTTTTTTTCTCAGGCAGCAAGACAGTTTTCCATCACGATTTGCATTGAATGACATACAGGTTTTATTATTTATTCATCCAAATTAAAAGCCTATATAAAAATTAGTTTCGATGTGTGTACCTTGGTTTCCCAAGGTGCCGTCCTTACTTTTAAGAGGACTCTGACTAAAAACTAATTAAGTATTTGCCATCAAAAACGCTCAGTACTTTAATCAGTGCACTGTGTTTGGCTTTTTAAAATGAATGTTTGAGTAATGCAGCCATAAATGATTTTTTGAAATTATTAATCTGAGACCTCTTCCTTTTGCTTTATGAAGTCCCACTGGTATCGCGTAAGAAGATTAGTGTCTGCGCTGTGGGAGAAAGCTCACTGAATCAAAAGGCATGGGACATATTGCTAAGTTTTAAAAATAACTGCATGCACTTGTTTCAACTAAACTTGAGGGAAAACCAAACGTAGAGGAAGCAGAATGATTTCAAATGAGTTTAGATTTATTGAAATTGGAATTCATATTATATTCAAGACAAGTCAGGAAGTAGGAACAATAGAAGCCCTAAAGGCTTCAGAGCAGTGGCCTGGAACGAAATTCTCCACCTGGAATAGAGTCAGCGTCTTATTTCAGCCTTGAGAAGTACCTCATTTCTCAGATGACAAAGTGATCATGGAGGAACTGCACAAAGGAAAGATGACAAACACAAGGGGAGTTGCACCAGACACACAGTCAAACAGAAACAGTGCTCACATTGTGATTTCTCTCTCTCTCTCTAGTTTTCTGGCAAACTTTGCAGTGAAAGAAGCCCCATTCCCTCTCTTGCAGGTTTAAGATAGATCCCAGGTACACCCTTTCAGGAGTTTCCAGACAGATTAGAGAATTCATCTCTCTTCCACGGGCAGGATCAAAACTATGTTTCTCCTTGCTGAGACCCTAGAGTACACAGCACTGCTATTCTCTAGGAAGCCAAAATGGGGGGCTGTGTCTAATCTACATTCCCCACTCAAAGTTATATGATTCCTTTTCTCATTGAAAAATCCAAAGAAAGCTCTTGAGACAACAGTTCACTAAGCTCAAGAACAGAGTATCATCTTCTAAGGACTCATTCTAGTTTGAACTCTAGTATAGAAAATTTACATTAGCCAGTAAATTTTTGGAAGTAACTTTTGGAAAGTGTTTCGTAACAAATATGTTTAACATATATATATTTTAAAATGTAAACATGTATATTTTTCTTGGAAAAGAGATAAGTGTAATTTTCATTCTTCAAAAATAATAAATGAAAAAGAATCTTATCTGGACATTTGGTGTACGCTGTGGTATGAATGCGTCCTTCAAAGTTCATGTTTTGGAAACTTAATCCCCAATGCAACAGTGTTGAGAGGTGGGACTTTTAAGACATGAGTAGGTCACGAGGGCTCTGTTTCCTGTTATGAGACAATGGGAAAAGAAGGCCTTCGCCAGATGCAGGTCCCTTGACCTTGAGCTCCCCAGCCTCCAGAACGGTAAGAAATACACCTGTGTTCTTTCTAGATTACCCAGTCTCAGATATTCTGTTATAGTAACACAAAACAGACTAAGACTGTGTGGTTAGTAAGATGACTGGTTATTACATTATTGACAGTAAAGACAGTTTTCAGGATGATTAAATTTTTGTTTTCCAAACTAAGAAAAAACAATAGAGACTGACACTTAAAACATAACTTTTATAGGTCCTTTATGTTATAAAAAGACATGAAAAACATACATGATGTTTTGGTTCCTCTAAGCTGCACTGTCTAATATGGTAGCCAGTAGTCACATTATTTAAATTTGAATTTAAATGAATTAAAAATTAAATTAAATTAAAAATTTGGTTCCACAGTTGTCTTAGCTATATTTCACATGCTAGTAGCCACATATGGTTAGTGGCTAGAGCATATTGACAACATCTACATCTTTGTAGAAAGTTCTATCAGAGAACATTGCTCAGGCCGATTTTTGTCTTTTCTTTTCTAAAATATATTGACTCTTGTATTAGTTTCATGTTGTTGCTATAACAGATTATCCCAAACTTAGTGGCTTAAAATAACAGAAATTTGTTCTTTCACAACTTCGGAGGTCAGAAGTTCCAAAGCAGCATCACTGAGTGAAATCGATGTGTTGGCAAGATCACATTCCCTCCAGAGAAAAATCTGCCTTTTGAGCTGCTGGCCTTCCTTGGCTTATCGCCATATCACTACAGCCTCTGGTTCCAAGGTGTTCACATTCTCTCCTTCTTTCCCATCTGTGAAATCTCTCCCTGTCTACCTTTTACAATGACACATGTGATTGCACTTAGGGCCCACCTGGCTAATGTAAAATTGCCTCTCCCCAGGAGAATGGCGTGAACCCGGGAGGCAGAGCTTGCAGTGAGCCGAGATCACGCCACTGCACTCCAGCCTGAGCAACAGAGCGAGACTCCATCTCAAAAAAAAAAAAAAAAAAAAAAAAATTGTCTCTCCGTGTCATGATTGTTAACTTAGTCACATCTGCAAATACTTATATGCTTACAACTTCCAAGAATAAAGGCTTTATGTTATGATAGGCCATTACCCAACCTACTACATCCAACTGAAATGCTACTTTTTAAATTTTGTGTTGCTAAGTTACTTACTCCACTGGCATCTATTGATATAAATGTTAATACAGTTTCCCAAAGCTATATGATTTTCCCCCAAAGGGACTTATACAGTGGAAAAGTCTCGCTTCCTGATTTGCTTCAGTTATTTTTCCTTCTTGTCTTGTAATTGTCAAAGCCCAGGCTTGATGGAAAAGCCCATGACAGCACAAACTCACAACTTTATAAATCTACTTGTAACAATTACAGAACATGTGGTCACAGTTTAAGTCTACACCTGTGGATCTTAAGTAACTTCATTGACAATGTTTGCTTTAAAATTATTATTGTTAAAAAAATGTCACCTCAAAAATAAATACGTGTCTAGCAATTGTAATGAGAATGAAGAAGAGTTGCCTGCAAAAACTACTTAAAACAATCAAACAGATGATTGCTATATAGATGATAGATATATAAATAGATAGATAAATGGGAATCCATAGAAATATGAGCAAGATTCTTGAACACTTAAAAAAAAGGTATACGTATGACCAATAAGCATAACCTCTTTCAAAAATCAGAAACAAGCCCAGGTGGGCGGATCATGAGGTCAGCAAATCAAGACCATCCTGGCTAATATGGTGAAACCCCATCTCTAGTAAAAATACAAAAAAAAAAAAAAAAAAATTAGCCGGGCGTGGTGGTGGTCACCTGTAGTCCCAGCTACTCGGGAGGCTGAGGCAGGACAATGGCATGAACCCGGGAGGCAGAGCATGCAGTGAGCCAAGATTGCACAACTGCACTCCAGCCTGGGTGGCAAATCGAGACTACGTCTCAAAAAAAAAAAAAAAAAAAAAGAAACATAACTTAACTAAAATGAGACATGACAAACACTCACCAGAATGGCTACACTTTTTTTTTTTTTTTTTTTGACACGGAGTCTGGCTCTGTCGCCCAGGTTGGAGTACAGTGGTGCAATCTTGGCTCACTGCAAGCTCCACCTCCCGGGTTCACGCCATTCTCCTGCTTCAGCCTCCTGAGTAGCTGGGACTACAGGCGCCCGCCACAATGCCCAGTTAATTTTGTTTTGTATTTTTAGTAGAGACGGGGTTTCACCGTGTTATCCAGGATGGTCTCGATCTCCTGACCTCGTGATCCGCCCTCCTTGGCCTCCCAAAGTGCTGGGATTACAGGTGTGAGCCACCGCGCCCGGCCTAAACTTTTAAACAATACTAAATATCTTAATTTGTAAGCATCAGGAACTCCAGTTAATTGCATTGGAGACTTTAAATTGATATAACCAAATTAGAAAAATTTGTGTTGTTATTGGCCAAAGGTGAACACACATATATGCTAGTTTGTTATTACCCCCCCAAGTCTATACCCATTGGAAACATTTTTAGTAATTCTGTATAAATAGCCAACATCTAGAAACAACTCAAACGTTCATCAGCATGAAATAAACAAATGATTGTAGAATATTCACAAGATAGAATAATACTGAGGAAAAGAAACTAATATCTCTAATATCAGCACAGATAATTCTCAGAAATATGATTTGTAACTAAAGAAGTCAAGTGTAAAATAATGCATCTTTTATGACTCCATCTGTGTGAAATTTTTTTGAAAAACAAGAACTAATCTTTGGTGATACAAATCAGGTGAATTTTTATGTTTAAGGAGTTGCAGTAACTGGGAGAAGGCCTACTCAGTGGTTGCGGGGTGTTGACATGATGTTTTGATTAAACTGTGGACGGTCAGGTGGGTGCTTATTTTGCTGGGATTAAAAACAGAACGGTGATAGTGAGCTTTGGCACTGTACCAGACTACCTGGGTTCCCTTTCAGACCTATCACTCAGGCTATGTGCTTTTGGGTAAATTTTAACTTTTACTATTTTTATTATTATTAACTCTATTAAATTATTTGTCCCACTTCATCTCACAAAGACCATGTCTTTCTCATCTACTGTGGTAATGCTACCATTTAATATATTTATCACACATGAAAAGTGCTCATTAAATAATTGCTAATAAAATAAATTGCACATACACGTAGTCTCCATGAAGGATTATATATATATATATGCACGTATATGTGTGTGTGTGTATGTATATGTGTGTGTATATATACCTATATATATGTGTGTGTGTGTCTGTATTTATTTACTAAAAGTTAAACATGGCTCTTAACAAAATTTGTGATGGTCACAAAAATATCACATTTTCTTCTGGCCTTCCCGTCATGATGCTATGCTGAGAGCAAGACTATGTGTGAACATGACACTCTGTTCATGAATGTCTAGACCACATAGGACCAAAGATTCTAATTTATGTTAGACCTCTTTTTGGGCCTTACCAGAAATGCTAAATTTTCCTTTTAAAGAGCTACATTCTCCTGAAGAGCTAAATCTTTTGTCTCTCTACTAATTTTATCTGCTACAATAAAATGGTAACCAAATAAACAGTTTTTGAGAATTTTTAAATGACCTCCATGACCCCTTTATTGTAGTTTGCACATAACACTATTGCCTATGAATTAATAAGACAGTATTCGGGCACTATTATAGCTAATATTTTGACCAATTTCTGTTACTAAATGTGTACAGAGGTGAAAGCTTCATATATTCTTTTATATAAAATACTAAGTGTCTAGGGCATTTTAGAAAGCTTGTCCAACGGGGGCATTTGAAATTTTCTGCTTAGTGTGAACTCATTTTTGTGGGTTTATAGGAATGAGTAGGAAACGGGCTAATAAGAGACTTTTTGCATAACATAGAGAAACCAAATCCCCTCCTTGTTCATACCCAGCATCTTTGTTCCCCCAGGGAATTGTAACAGCTGGAAGAAAAATTTCCGGGAATGAGGAAAGTATATTTTACTAGGGAATTCATATTTTGAAGCCAATGTTTGCAAATCACGTGTTCGTAGATTAAATTTATACTATCTAGCAGTCTCATAAAGAAACAACAACCACAACTGGAGATAATCTTGAAAGCAGTTCTGTGTTGGTATCGCCTTCACAGAAGCAAATAAGCAAAGATATATCCTCTCAAGAAGAATTCACCATCAACCTTGGCCCAAACAAATTTCCACAGATAAAATTTTAAAGAAATTGAGGTCACAGTAAAGAATATGGATAAGCATAAGGATAAGGATAAAAAGGACAGACAGGCAAACAAGATAAGAAGAAAAAGAGAGAGGAAGAGGAGTAGGAGAAAACAAGTACCATTTGCAAAAATTAGCAGCAACAATAGACAGAAGAATTATAATCCCCCAAATTCATATGTTGGAATCCTTAGATATATGCATAATGTATTTAAGAAATAACAAGGGAGCTTTAAAATATATTTAAGGGAAAATAACCTCTTTAGATGACCAAATCAATTTGAAAAAATAAATTAAATTTGGTAGAGAAAGCGTCATTGACTTTAAAACCCAGTGATTGGCTTTAGTATAGGAATAGGCATAACTGAAGAGAGATACTTAGTGAACCCGAAGGAAGTTCTTCGAAATGTTTTCAAAACCCATAATAAAGACCCAAATACATAGATAACAATATAGGTTTCCCCTTTTTAAATATTTCATAAGGCAAGGCAATTTTATTAATAAGCTTTATTATTTAGTCTATTGAACAAAAAAAACCTTTCCAAATCTTCAACCTAAAGTATAATTAAGATATATGACATGTCAGTCTCTGTACGTGTTTATAATATACATTTATAACATGCAAATAGAGACACAACCTTTTATTATATATATATGTATCTATGCATAGATACATATATATGTAAATGAGAAGGTAGTTTATTGTCAGAGAAAGCAAGTAATGTTAAATAATTTAAAATAAAACAGCTTACTATTTAAATAAAGATAAAACCTGCCACAAATTTAAACAATACGATACTCACAGTAAGAACAGCCATAAACTTCAATTCTGAGTCCAATGCGACCTTCTCCATTCCAATCCAGAGGCACTATGCGCACATAGCGGGCAATAATCGGATGCTGTAATTCGTGCCGGACCACACCGTCAGAGTTAATGTTTCCGGGAAATGCCTGGAAAAGGAAATAGTATTTTAAAAATTGGGAAAAATACTTTAGAAACAATCATGTCCTCTGTCTACTAGAATAAACACAAATGTCATCCAATGGTAGGGCTTGTGATTTCTTACACCGTAAATAATTTGAAGAAAGCTGCTTCCTTACTCTTAATGTGAAAATAGGTCCAGTTTTAAGTGGAAAACAGGTCAGATTTTCTGTGGGTCTTTTCATCCATGTAAACATACGTTAAAAGAATGAAAGACTAAATGGCATCCACTGTTGTGTTCCATACACATTGAAATGAGTTCTAATATTTTGCATTTAATTTATACAATAAATGATTTTTATAGCATCTAACCATATGTCTTGCTCTCTAAAATTCTCCTCCACATTTTCTCCCATAAAACCATTAGAAATTTAAAGATAACATTTCAACATTAGTGAGAGAAGAAGAACAATTGAACACGTTGTGAAGAGGTCAGGGTTTTCTACCTTTTATTGGAGTAGACACATTTAGAGAATTTGTTCAATGGATCAGAAACATGTTAATTCAGTTTTTTTCATTATAGAAGATTCTGTCAAAAGAATAATTATCCATGAATTTTTATCTGATACTGAAAGTTCACATTGTCTTTTTTTTTAATTTTATTTTTTATTTTTTTCCTCTCAGCGGAGAACAAATGGATTTTTTGGGAGGCATACATAACGATCATTCAACAAGGATTTACAAACTATCTATTTCATAAGTTAGAGCAAGATAATATGGGATATTCAAGGATGTGTGAAACCATAGACTCGACTCTCAAAAAATTACCATCTAATGAAAAAGAAAATGTCAGTATAAAGTTATAATTCAAGGAAGATTTAAAGAAAGAAACTATTATATTTTAGAAGATATAATTCAAATAAATGAAAGCTTGTGCTATTTTAAACATGAGCAGTTTCAGCTTCATATATGCATTCTAAATGTCCCTATAATAGACAAGTTGAGGCTTTAGCATTATCTTTTAGAAGATATTCTCTTTTCGATTTATTTAAATTATCTTAAAATCATACAAATATGCATTCTAAATGTCCCTATAATAGATAACTTGAGGTTTTAGCCTTATCTTTTAGAAGATATTAACTTTCAGATTTAAATTATCTTAAAATCATACAAATAGAAATTTTAAAAATTATTTTTTAAATCATGAAAAGATGCAACACAGGCATTATATTACATTGTTAGTATGTTGTCTTCTTTGCCTAAGGACTGAATTTGCTTCTATCTAAAACCAGGAGTTTTGTCTTTTAAAAAAATTATCTTTAATAATGATGTTTTAAAGTTAGACTACTCATACAAAGTAAAGAGCGAGAGATGTTTTTAATTAAAAAAAAATACAGAGTAGCTTCGGAATTGAAAGCACTGGCTTAAGTTCATCCAAGCAACACAAATGCAAGTTTGTAGTAGATCTGTTATCCAACCCGCATTCCCCGGTCAAATTCCTGCGCTCCGAAATACAAAATGTGTAATGTAAGGCCTAGTAATTATGAGAAGTATACTGAAAGATTTCCTCCGCATTGAAACAATTTTATGTAACCTTTAGATGGTACCAGCAATCCACATAATGGATAATATTTAGTCTATAACATGGACAATTACATGTTTTAAAAATTGGGATGTTCTTCTGTGACGATTCCTGCTGTGCTCTTCTTGGTTTTCTCAAATGAGCTGCGTACTACCACTGCCTTTTAAAAATAGCCATACACTTCTGTAATCCATAAAACAAAACTATTTGAGCAGTATGTCTTGAATTTTAACACTTAATAGAGCATCCTCATTGCATCTTGTTGACAAAATTTCATCAGAAAAACAATTTCTAAAAAGACATTTTCTTTGTAGGTACTTTTCTAGCCAGCTGTTAGTTTTACAAAGAATCTAAAAATCTAAACAAGCATTCCATTAAACCATGGCTATATTTTCAGATCTCTATTGGGTTCTCTGGCTTCAAATGCAAGAACAATTAGAATCCTTGACCAAAATCACTTGAATTAAATCTACAATTGGATATGGGTTAATCCAAAATTTATGATCTTAAATAATACTCAACAAAAGCCACCAAACAATTTCAACTTGAAAATTAACTATATGCTTAGCATGTTGCTAGGTTTTATGTCAATATTTAGAAAAACAACAAAAATCTCTCCTGAAACACTGTCTCTAAGACATCTGCAGTCTTATGAGGCCTAAAATAAAATCTAAAAAGATATTGCAAAAGGCAGCATTAAAAGGAACTATGGAAGTGCATTACGTAACTAGTAATTTTACCGATATTTGGAGTTCCCTGAAGGCTATGTAATCAGGCAAATTCTACAGAGTTAGAGCTCAGCTGCATAGAAGGACAGAGTGGTGTTTGAAAGACAAGAGAGAAAGGGGCTAGGATATATTGAAGAATAGGTTGGCATAAAGGAGGATTTCAGACCTAGGGTATAAGACCCAGAGTCCAGGGATAGTTATGCTGAAATTTTGCTTTGTATGGGTAGCCTCTCTAGGACTTAAAAAAAATACTTTTCCTTTCCCCTGTATGTCTCTCACAAAAAGATTTGATGCGCTTATTGGTAAAATGAATTTTTGAACTAAGATTGTAGATTCTCGGGAAACATGAACCAAGGGTGTTCAGGAATACACAAGGAATAGGAATAAAGACACAAGTCTGACTGGCAGAAAGTAGTTATGTTGAAAAAAATCATAAATCTTTTAACAGGTTCTGTCTGATTAGAGACAAAATAATATAGCATGTATTGTTGTTGTTGTTCTTGTTGTTAAGAAATAACAATAAAAGCCATATTAATGAGATCCAGGGTAATGGGAAATCATACTGGGAGCAAGAAGATTAGCAACAAGTAATTGAAGGTCAACACCAATGTGGTGGTAGGGGCAATAAATAAATAAAAGACAGATTTGATATTTCAAAAGAAGAATTATTAACATCTTGAAAGAAGGGAGTAGAAGATATAATCAACCTATTCCAAGATATTAGTGTGCAGGCATTGGTGACAGAAAAGGGAAGAGAGGGAAAGATATGATGAACATTTATTGCTCGACTGCTCAGCAACCTCTTCCCTTTGAGTAATAGCATCTGGCTTTTCTTTAAAAAGTTCACTCTTAATATTCTACTCTTCCCCAGGCGCAGTGGCTCACACCTGTAATCACAGCACTTTGGGAGACCAAGGTGGGCTGATCGCTTGAGGTCAGGAGTTCAAGACCAGTCTGGCCAACATGCTGATACCCTATCTCTACTAAAAATACAAAAATCAGCCAGGTGTGGTCATGCACGCCTGTAATCCCAGCTACTTGGAAGGCTGAGGCAGGAGAATCACTTGAACCCAGGAGGCAGGGGTTTCAGGGAGTTGAAATCACGCCACTGTACTCCAGCCTGGGTGACAGAGCCAGACTCTGTCTCAAAAAAAAAAAAAAAAAAAAAAAAAAATTCACTCTTAATCCATATGATGCTAGAGAGGCAGACACTACTCCCTACCACCAGGGGTGGGCACCTAACTCAATGAGACTCAGTTTTAGCCCTTCTGCTAAAATGCTTCATTCATACATTTACTTACGTATTTATTCATTCACCTTTCATTCACTCAGGAGATATTTGAGAGTCTTCTATGTAGCAGATATTGTTCAAATCAACAATGTAGACAGAGTTGCAGTTTTCATGGCATTTATATTATTAAACTACATAGTGAGCTTTTTTTCATAGGCTTGTTGGCCACTTTTGAAAAGTGTCTGTTCATATCCTTTTCCCACTTTTTAGCAGGGTTGTTTTACTCTTGTAAATTTGTTTAAGTTCCTTATCGATGCTGGATATTAGACCTTTGTCAGGTGCAAAGTTTGCAAATATTTTTCCCATTCTATAGATTGTCTGTTATACTCTGTTGACAGCTTCTTTTGCTGTGCAGAAGCTCTTAGGTTTAATTAGATCCCATTTGTCAATATTTGCTTTGTTATGATTGCTTTTCATGTCTTTGGCATGAAATCTTTGCCCATTCCTATGTCCAGGATGGTATTGCCTAGGTTGTCTTCCAGAGTTTTTATAATTTTGGGTTTTACATTTAGGTTTTGGAGAAAAGGAAATACTTATACACTGTTGGTGAGCATGGAAATTAGTTTAACCATTGTGGAAAGCAGTATGATGATTCCTCAAAGAGCTAAAAGAAAAACTACCATTTGACCCAGCAATCCCATTATGGGGAATATACTCAGAGGAATATAAATCATTCTACCACAAAGACACATGCATGCAAATGTTCACTCTGGCACTATTCACAATAGCAAAGGCATAGAATCAACCCAGATTGGATGAAGAAAATGTGCTACATATACACCATGGAAAATTATGCAGCAATAAAAAAGAATGAGATGGAGCTGGAGTCTATTATACTTAGCAAACAAATGCAGGAACAGAAAACCAAATACCACATGTTCTCATTTGTAAGTGGGAGCTAAATGATGAGAACTAATAAACACAAAGAAGGAAACAGCAGACACTGGGGTCTCCTGGAGAGTGGAGGGTGGAAGGAGGGAGAGGAGCAGAAAGGATAACTATTGGGTACTGGGCTTAATACCTGGGTGATGAAATAATCTGTACAACAAACCCCTGTCACATGAGTGTTTACCTGTGTAACAAACCTTCACATGTACTCCTGAACCTGAATATGTGTCTATATATATACACATACACACATACACATATATGTATACCTACACATACAATACTGACACTATGTTATATGTAATATGTACATATTGTTATATATGTTTTTATATGTAAATCCTATAATTATACAATTACATATATCGTTTATGCAAAGGCCAGAAAGGCAAATGGCATGAGCATACTGTGCCTGTTTGTGGGGGTAGCAAGGAAGTCAGTATTGTTGGAAGAGTGTGAAGAAGGAATGAACAGGGGAGAAGATGGAGAGGTCAAGGACAGAATGAGGAGGGCCTGTACATTATGATCACGCTCTAGATTTCATTTATGTGTGCTGGAAGGGAAATCTACTAGAGAGTTTTAAGCAAGAAAGTTATACATCTTATAATTTTTAACAATGAAAGCACTAAAATCCCCCTCTCTGAGTAAAGAGAAATTCCCAAGAAGATAGTAGAAGACCATTGCATAATGTAAAATACAAAATGATAGATGAAATAATATGGCCACAAGTGCTTCAGAGGTTGTTCAGGGAGGAGAGGTTTGGAACATTGGTGTGGAAGAACAGCAGGACAGCTACCACACCTTGGGATCTCCAATGCACGCTGAGTGAAAAGAAAACAAACAAAACTGCAGGAATGGAGGTGCTCTTCCCACTGAGCTTCTGTTGGCCATTTTGATATTACAAAGGAGTGGAAGTCAGAGAAAGACAAAGTAAGCACATCTGCGATGACATCATTTGAGAAATCTAAATCCAGAGCTTGCTAAGGTGTTTTGGATTATTTGATCTGTTTCCTTATTTGTTTGTTTCTGAGCAACTGAAATAACATTGACTAATACAACAATATTTGAAGGGAAAGATAATTAGTGAAGATTTAGATATACTGCATTTGAGATTTCACCAGCAAAATTAAAAGATGTTATTGGACATTTGAGGTTTAGAATAATAGTGCTTTACCTAAGGTTTGCCTTTGCTTTACTTATGGAAAAATGCATGCTATATATTTTCTTCAGGATTCTCAAAATCAATAGTTTGTGCTTCTGTTGTTATTTTTATTGTTATATTTTATTTTTAGAGACAGGGTCTGGCTCTATCACCCAGGCTAGAGTACAGTGGCACAGTCATAGCTAACTGTAACCCTTGAATTCCTGTGATCAAACGATCCTCCCACCTTAGCCTCCTGAGTAGCTAGGACTATAGGTGTGTGCCAATAGATTGTGATTTTTCCACTTCTTTCATCCAAGCATATTGAGATTTAAGACATTTTCCTAACTGAAGCTTTAAATATTTCAAAAGAATACCATAGGCGTGAACCATTGATTGTCTTGATTACAAAGCTGTAAATATATGTGAAATGTCTCCATAAATATCAGTATTTGATAAGGTAGGAAACATAAAAGGAGATGTAGCCGTTGATTTAATAAAAACAACGTCTAACATGTATATATCTATTATTTAAACGGTTCTAGTATAGTCTGTATTGTTTGTGCCTCAAAGAAAACTCTAAAATTGTCAGGGATGCTATTTTTTCAAATCAGGAAACAGACTCAGAGAAGTTGGCCAACATGGTGAAACCCCGTCTCTGCCAAAAATACAAAAAATTAGCCAGGCATGGTGGCATGCACCTGTAATCCCAGCTACTCAGGAGGCTGAGGCAGGAGAATCACTTGAACCTGGGAGGTGGAGGTTGCAGTGAGCCAAGATCGCACCACTGCACTCTGGCCTGGACAACAAGAGCGAAACTCCATCTCAATAAAAAAAAAAAAAAAAAAAAGGGAAAAAAAAAACAAAACTGGATGTCGAATACCTAGTAAAGACAAACTTGGGACAAAGTAACAAGTTCTTCCACTCTCTTCATTTGAGAATCAAATTGTCAACTAGAAATAAATATCTTCCCATTTATATACAATATATTTTATTTTTGATATTTAATGTTATATATTTGAATATCAAATTTAAAGTCTGATGGATGCTTTTTATCATATCACTTTTTAGATACACATTTGATATCTGGTCTATTTATTAGATAGTACATCTAATATAGTGTTCATATTTTACTTCTCTCCTTATTTTTTATTTCTACAAATTTTTACAAAATCAATAATATTATGTTTTCTCACACATTTACCTAAATCAAGCTTCTTTTGTGATTATCAGCACCCAAAGTCCTCTGCAGTTTTAATACAAGTAATTTAAAAGTTTGAATGACACTGTTTCCTAAAAGGAAAGAAGAATTTGTCAGCTAGGGGGCATCTTATTTAGTAAATACTAAAGTAAAGAATAAACTATCATAGGTCTTGAAAAGGAGCATTTTTTCATATCACTTGGCTCTTTTAAAAACTCATTTACAGTTTTTCATATAGGTGTGAAAAGGAAAAAAAGATACACAGCTGAGTTTTTATACAATCTTTAAGATTTGGAAACCTGCATCAAAAATTAAAAACTTAAAGCAAAGTTGAATCTTTCTTGCATAGAACAATACTCTTTATAATCAAACCTTCATTTAGACAAATAGTATACAAGTGCTTTGCAGATACATAAAAAATGCCAGCCAAATTTATCATTGAAAGAATAAAAAATCCATTTACAACAACTTGTGAATTTCATGTTCTGGCTATTAAATCTCTCTTAGAGGCAGTGATTTGTATATATGCTTAGAATAGGGTTTATTATTATAATTAAGATAGCATATATGTATCTCACAAAGCTTGATGTTAAGGAAAGTTAAAATCAATATAATAAAATGTTAAACCTATGGTTCTACTTTTAGAGTTCTTGTCTTATAAATTGTACAAATACATACCAAAATTTAGAACTTTTTTAACATATTGTAAGTCATCCACAATGTTAATTTTAGAATAAACATCCCTGAAGTTTTAATAACTGAAAATTTTCCACTAGGTGCACTGTTTTTTCTAGCTAAAACAATATTTCAGATGGTCTAAGAGGTAGTGAAGCAAAGCATTTCTGCAAAGTACCAGACAGTAAATATTTTAGGCTTTGCAGGTCACATGCTCCTCTGTCCCATATTATTATTCTTCCTTTTTTTAAAAAATACACTTGTGAAATGTAAAAATTATTCATAGCTCACAAACTTTAAAAGAACAGGCGTGGACAAGATTTGTCCCATGGGCTACAGTTTGCCAGCCCATGGACTAAGAGTCTTTGAAATTAAATCTTTCTTGCAAGTTAGACAGGATGCACAAGTCTAAGACTTTCCAGCCAGTTGACAGTTAAGAACCAGTAAACTTTGGAAAAGTATTTTGTAATCACTTGGAAAATATAATTTATCAAACTGGAGGAGACTATATAAAGTACTAGAAGTATGCTATGTATGATGCATGAACTAACATTTTTTTTTTCTCAAATTTACTATTATGGGGTTTGAAGTGTAACACAAATTATTTTATGATGAGAATAAGTATATTTATTCCTAACTAAATCCTCACTTTTTAGGAGACCTAACATAAAAGATCACAAGCTCCTATAGCGAATGAATGAGACTCTGTATCTTCATGTAAAGGTTTTACTTAAGACTAAAAAAAAGTGCCTAAAACAATTAGCTATTGTGTAACTAAATCTAGGAAGAGCTTTTCGCTACTGACAACAGGTCTCATAGGTGGGAACTTATGTGAGAATGACGTGAATGTTCCCTAAAGTGAGAGATCTTACTTGCTTAAAACATAAAATGACTCTGTGGCATTGAAACACATATTGACTATTCTTTATGTTAATATACTAAACCTGTGATCATTACAATCACTTCCCTTTAATTGAAATTTTATTTCTTGCCAGATTTTAGATTTTATTTTCCCCATGCTAACAACTTATGTCAAAATGTAGAAATAGATTTTCCATTTTGCGGCCTTGATGTGAGTTTCCAGGACTAGCTATATTCCCTGCTGAGGCAGGAAGATAAGAAGGACCTTCATAAAATACTGCACCTGTTACCCTTCCAATCTGGCCTCTTCCCCTGGAGTCTCTGCTCATTAGTTTCATCTGGCTGGCCTTCCACATCTTGTAGGACTCAGCTCAGACAGCACTTCCTGACAGGAGGGACCTTGCCTCGCCACCCCTCAATCCCCTCGTTCCATAGGGTGCCTCATAGTAGGAGATCAGCAGGACTTTTTTTCTGAGCACCAGTCAGGACTCTACTGATTAAAGCAGGATCTGGTCAAAACAGAATGCGATATGGGAGGAGGGCAGAGAAGTGCTGGATAGAGAAGGGCAGGGTCCTGGTGGGGCTCCACCCTGGGGCCTGTGCCCACGGAACTAAGTGCAGACAGGCATTTCTGTTTTTGCGCTCAAATGTTGCATTTTCTAAGACCACTCTGGCCCTCCACACCCTTCATCCTGTGCCTACAAAAACCCTGAGACCCTAGTGGACACAGCCACAAGTGTCTGGACATCGAGAGGAGCAGAGGAGTGGAAAAGCACACCGGATTCAGCCAAGGGACGCTGGAGGAGAGTCTGGCAGCTGGGTGGCCCAGCTCCAGGGGAGGACCAGCTTCCCACTCCATCCCCCTTCTGACCTCCCCATCCACCTCGCTGAGACCCGCCTCCATTCAGTAAAACCTTACACCCATTCTTGAAGACCACATGTGATCCGATTTTTCTGATACACCAAGGCAAGAACCCAGGGTACAGAAAGCTCTCTGTCCTTGCAGTAAGGCAGGGGGTCTAATTGAACCGATTAACACAAGCCACCTGCAGATGGCAAAACTAAGAGAGCACAAGGTAACACACACCCACTAGGGCTTCAGGAGCTGTAAACACTAAACCCTAGACACCGCCATGGGGTTTGAGCTCCATGACATGCCCATCTGCACGCTCTCCCTATGGGTTTGAGCAGGGGAGCACTGAAGAAGTGAGCCACACCCCTATCACTTGCCCTGTGAAGAGGAAAAGGGAAAACTCCTGTTTCAAATGCAGAAAATAAACAAGCTAAAACGAAGACGGCAAAGAAAGCAACCTCTAGTTGTCCTCATTGTTTGTTATCCACAAATTATATTTCATTAGCTTGCTAAAAGGCACTCCTGCCAGCACCAAGACAGTTTACAGATGGCATGGCAATGCCCGGAAATTACCTTAC